>NC_000018.10:53033241-53333908 GCF_000001405.40 Homo sapiens
ACTCCTGAAGCCAAACATGGGTGGAAGACAACCCAAGACCTTGCTGGCTGGTCTCCCTAAATTATGTTGATTCCCAGCTTCAAGTGAGACTTAACGGTGTTTGGTGATCTAACACCACTTGATTTCCCAAGCACTGTGAGATGGGTGACTCTTTCGCAATGTTTCCTTTCTCCTCATTCCTTCACTGCGTCTTGCATATGTTGCTCTCAATTGATGACTTTGCTTTCCATTTCACTGAGAAAATAGAAGTCATCAGAAGAGAGTGTCCATGTATTCTAAATATATCCAATCTATGTTTGCGTCCTGCATGCTGTCTCAGCCTCTCTATCAATGCACACTGGTTCCCATTCCTCCTTGAGACGCTAACAGCATTGTTGCAGCATCTGTCTTCTGTCTCTCCTGCATCATCTATTTTTCCCTCTGTGCTAGATCATTCTCAACCACATACAAATATGCCATAATACTCTCCTATCTTAAAAGAATGCACTTTTTGAACTCCCTTTCCTTTTAGATATCACCTTATTCTTTTAGTTGCTTTTACTATAAAACTTCTCTATAATGTAGTCTTATACAGTCTGTCTTCACTTTCTTTTCTAACAATCCAACAAAACTTTGCTTATTAAGGTCTCCAATGACCTGTATGGTTATTTCTCAGGCCCTAACTTACTTATTAGCGATATTTGGCATGGTTGTCATACCCTCCTTCATGAAACCCAATCTTCATTTTTCTTTTGGGACACCTCACTGGCCACTCCTTTCAGTCTCATTTGCTAGTTTCATCTCATCCTCCTGATGCCAAATGTTGGATTTTTCCCACCTCTTAGTTCTCACTTCTCTTCTCTCTTTTTGAGAGAGAAGATGATATTCTTCAGTCTCTTAGCTTTAAATACTGTCTCTGTGTTGATAGCTTTCAAATTGTTTATTTATATCCCAAAATTCTGCCCCGAGCTTTAGAGTCATATACACTCTGCTTAGATATCTAATAGATATCTCATGTATAACATGATATCTATTCATACATTCATGTATGTTCCATACACATTTGCCTAGTTGTTTCCAAATTTCTCATTTCTCTTCACAGCCTCCTTATGTCATCATACCTCTCCAGAAACATTTCCCATCTTAGTATTACATCAAATGCATTATTTCTTTGTTCAGGCCCAAAGAAAATAATACAAAGTCACTTTCAACATCTTTCTTTCTCCTCCCTCACAATTTACCTCTAGTCCATCTACAAATCCCATTGACTCTAATTTCAAAATATAATCAAAATACAGAACCTTCACTACTACCATGCCATGCTGGCTCAAACTACCATTATGTCTCCCCTAGTCTGTGGCAGTAGCCTCTCAGCTGATCTCCTTATTTTTATCCCTGTTCTTCTACATTCTGTCCTTGACACAAGCAACCAGAGTGATCCTGATCAATCTGTCATATTAAGTCACTTATCTGCTCCAACTTTTTTTTTTTTTATGGTTTTCTCTATCAGAATAGAGGCCAAAGCTCTGGAAATAGTCCATAAGGCCTGAAAGATCTGGCATTGGTGTGCTCATCTGCTCTTCTCTCTCTTGCTCTTGCTGCACCAGCCATGCTGGCCAACTTTTCTGTTGCTTGGACATTTCAAACACATTCCTGACTTGAGATTTGCTGTTCTCCCTGCCTCAGATGTTCTTACTCTCTAAATAGCCCATTCACACTACCCTAGCTAGTCCTTCCCACTTTCCTACACAATTCTTCACATCCTCTCTTCTCCTTTATGTACTTTTTGCATCACTTGTTATCACTTACTGTTTTAAAAATTTATTGATATATAATAGTTGTACATATTTTGAGGATACATGTGATATTTTGATACATGCATGTAATATGTAATGATCAAGTCAGGGTAATTGGGATATCCATCACCTCAAACATTTATCTGTGTGTGTGTGTGTGTGTGTGTGAATTTTGGGAACATTACAGATCTTCTGTTTAAGATACTTTGAAATATACAATAAAGTAGCCTATGGCCATACCACCCGAAATGCACATGATCTCATCTTACTATTTTCTATCTCACTAAAGTACAATATGTGCTCCCTGAGAATGGGAATTTCTTTTATTTTCTGTTGAATCCTCAGTGCCTAAAACAGTGCTGAAAGCAAAGTTTTAAGGTCAAGATTTTAGATATGGTCTAAAGATTCTGGATTTCACTATCTGCAGTATTACCTGGTCAAACTGATATAATTAGACTTTCCAGTGCTAAGTGGAAAATGAAATCAAGTGTATTTTATAAAATTTTAATATAATTGTTATTTGAGAAGAATATAAAGGTTAATGTGAAAACTTAATAATATTTGTCTCTCAAATATTATGAGCATATTGCTCAAAGCCGCTTGCTTAAAGAGGAACATTATAGCAGCGTAGGGAAAACTTGGAAGCAGCCTAAATGAACGCAGCAGGGGCTGGCTCCATTCTTTGGTATGATCATGTAACGGGGTAGTTGGCAGCCTTTATAGACTGCACTATCATTTTTATTGGCTTCATATTAATCTATAATTAGTTTAAATAAACCAGTCATTGTAGTGTATATTTGATCCAGTTTTTCTCCTTTAGAAACAGTAATGGACATCCTTATACACACTTCCATACATATTTGCATACTTGTTGTCATATTATCCTTAGAGCATTTAGTATTTCACTATTACAAATAATACTTCAGTGAATATCCATGCTCATTCATCATTGTCACCAACTCTACTTATTTTTATAGACTGTATTCCTCGATGTTGGACACTTGGTAAGAGGGAATACACATTTCGAGGGCTCTTTATACATCTTACAGAATTGCTTTAGAGAGTATCAATTTATCTTTCTTTCAGATTTATATTATAGTGCCTGATTCATTTCAAGCTTAAAAACACTTGGTATTAGGTTTACAAAAAATTTAAGAAGATATTAAAGATTCTAAAAATCTTTTCCCAAGTAGATTAGGATGTGTACCTACACAATTTATGGTATAGTCAGTTCTACTATAATGCTTGTTTTGAAAACTTGGACTTCTTCCAAGATTGATCTATTAGGGCACAATTTGAGTATCTTGCAAAATTTGCACTTTCTTATATGTGATTTTATCTGCAAGCAACACTAGGTGAATAGAGAAAACTGCACCCAGCTGAACCAACAAGTGAAGGAATACAAAATTCAAATACCTACCAGTTACATTAATTCACCTCTTGTTTATGAGCCACACCTATGTATATCTGATTTTGCAACTTTCTATCTGATTTCAGATAACGTTCCTTCTGCTACTTCACTGTAACATTGTGATGTTTTGGAACATGTGTGTCTCAATACAGTAAAACTGACTTCATGTGATTTCAACATATATCATAGGTTACGTCTACACTGGGTATTATTTCTGTGCATTTGTTAACAGCTTAGATAGGTAGCATAGGTAGCTGAATGCTATTCAATATGCACCCCTAATCCTATCTGCTTTTTAATTGTGCGTGGAGAAGGCAAATGAGAAAGCAGAAATTGAAATGGAAAAGGAAGTGTTCAGAGTAGTTGGTGTAAGCAATATTGGAACACATCTGTTTGCAAAATATGCTTTAGAGGCTTGGAGATGTGTTCTTTCAGGCATTGCTTTCCATCCTGGGTACAATTGAATCCTTCAGCCCCTTAGAAAGATAAAGATTAGTCTGAAGCTGATATACATTTTCAAGGTAGCAGGGACATGAGTATTTTTCAAGCAGGTAGTAGAGCAGGATCCATATCAATCCTTAAAACTCTGCAAACATAGAATTATTTTCATCAGTTTCAGGCAAGAGAGCTGACTTCTCTTTACACAGAGTAAACCATTACGGGGACATCAGGAAAGACCCTTTCCTCAAAGAGGCATTGTCAACTCAGTCAATGATGCCTAAAGAGTTCCATCCCACAGCTAGAGATTAAACTGCAAGTGAAGCCATCCTGGATTTCGTTTCTTTGTGTTCTAATTTAGATTCAGGTGCAAATGGTGTCAAGTCCACCTAGGAAAATTTGGAGGATAAATGAACTGGCAATGTGTAGTTGAAGAAGATAGCTTAAAGGGAAACAACTGGAAGTAAACATAGTCACAGAAAATGACATATATTGCCTACTTAACAGGAAGACAGTGGTCTGACCTCTTAATAAGGCACAATGTCCACAAGTGAGGGTAGACATTGAAAGAAACAGAACCTGAGATGATTTTATTGTTCATGGTCATTTGTACAGCCTCGCTCTGTTATCCATTTGCATCTTTGCCTCTTGGTCCCGCAAGAGCCTCTCTCATAAACTTTGAGTAGAAGATCATAAAAAATTGTTACTTAAAAAAATTGAAGTCCTAAAATTTACCAGCTCTGAAGGAATATACCATACTGATATAGAAAGTTCAATGAATAGGTAGCAACAGAAATAAGCTTTGATAAACAAAGAAAACCAAATGATGCTATCTGAAAGCCCGGTCTTTGAAATCAGGTGGACTTGGCCTCATTCTCACATTCCATTTATGGGTTCACAACGTGGAGGATGTCACTCAGCTGTCACGAGACTCACTTCTTCTGTAAAAGCACAACTGATGAAAACACTTGAAAGGATTTTTTTTTAAATATTGAATGAGATAAAATACTGTGAAAATGTTCTATAATGTTTGACATTGGAAAGGGTAGGAAATGAAGGTTAACAGAAGAGTAAAAATAAGCAAATGAAAAAACGTAAGAACATTATGTCAAAGCTCTACCTTTGGAAATAGATCTCACCCTAGAGATGGACAGATGATACAGTCTCAAATGCAAAACCAACAGGTACATTTGAGATTATTACCAATATTTAGCGCTGTTATCTTTTGATTTATTCATGTATTCATTTAGCCCTCAACAAATACTGAGTAACTATTTATAAGACATTAAGCTAGGTTCCAGAGATAAAGCAAGAGACCAGTCCCTAAACTTACTTGTACAGTAAATTAGAACAGGGAATTCTGTTTGATATTTGATACCTTAGAATTCTGACTATTACTGGCAATAATAATACATATGTAATAATTACTATTGTGTTAGATTGGGCTGCTGTAATAAAATATCATAAACGGAGTGGCTTAAACAACAGACGTTTATTTCCCAGAGACAGCACTATTCTTATCATCGCCTACCCTCAGGACCTAATCTAAACCTACTTACCTCACAAAAGGCATACCTCCAAATACCATTACTTTGGAAGTTAGGGCTTCAACACGCAAAGTTTAGGAGTACATATTCAGCCCCTAACACCTATACACTATCATTAAGGTAGAAGCTCCGCAGAACTTTCTCTCTCTTATCCTCAAAATCATCTCCTTTAGATAGCTATTAGTATCCTCACTTTACAGATGAAAGCTGAGACCCAGAATAGGTGAATTCATTGCCCCCAAATTCCATGACCACTAAGTGTTTATAAATCAGAATGAATTAATTGGCCAAAAATTCCATAGCCACTAAGTGGCAGGAGCAGATATTGAGACACAGGCTTGTCTGTGATTACTCAGCCTGGGCTCTTTTAACACTGTGCCTTTTAATACCATTAGAGTAGTATTCACAGAATATCATTCAGATAGGATGACAGAGGATGGTCAATTGGTGAAGCCAGGACTATTCCTTGGATTAGTAGAAATGCATTAAAAAAAAAAAACTCAAACATGTAAGGGAAGGACACTTGACATTAGAAAAGATGAAATTTCTGGAGACACAATTGTGTGTCACCTAATCAGCTGTCACATCAGGGAAAAAATATCTTGGAGAAATGTTGAGGTCGCCAAACCCAGGGAGCTTTTTAACTGATTCATTTCATCTTGCATGCATCCCAATAGTTTTAGAAGCTGCTGGATAGATTTATTACACAAAGTCTGTGTCTCTAGCTTTCAGCAATGTGGGATTTCTTTTTCTCAGAGCCCACTGATCAAACCCTGCATTCACACGTTTACTGATGTGTCATATTTTAACATCCAGGTCTCTGCACAATGCCAAGATTATGCAGTTCTATGGAGTTAACTTAGAAATTTTGTCCTCACACAGTATTCTATAGTTGTTAATTTTCCATGCAAATGAAAACATTTATATAATTTCTGCTGTTTTTATGTGGTCTCATAAAATGTGAATTACAAAACTCCATCTTTGAATTTCCTGTGCTGCTCCACTTTCATTCTCTGTAAGGAATATTTGCCAGAGGAAGGTCTATGTTGTACTTTCGTAGCCAACTAGAATGTTAAAAGGATTGGAGAGGAGATTTACTGCATATTTGTGATTATTGTTTTTTGGGAGTGAGCTGAGGTCCCAAACCACCTATTCCAAGCCCATGCTGTGGCAGAGGTTGGAAAGAGGCTTCTTGACTCTACTTGTCCTCTAGCCAAGAGGGAGGCTCTCCCTAGCATGACCCTTAGGCCTCACCTCCACATCTCTCTGTCTCTGGCATAGGTTATTGGTCATTATGTCACCTCTTTCTTGGTAGGACCCCAGAGAATTTCACATCCTAATCACAAGGGATATAAAAACTGTCAAGTTCTATGGATCCTTTTCACTTTTCCTTCATGTTTTAATGTAGTTGTTCCTCTTCTGTAATAGCAATGATCACACCATATAGGTATTAAAAATATGTTCCTTCTTTTTCCTACTGGAATGTCCATTCCTTGAGGGCATATCTATTGTCTGTGCAGCTGCAGTGCCCAACACAATGCCTAACATGTGGGTGCTCAGTGGGTGTTTGCTAAATTAATTTAAACTGTATTGCCCTTAGTAATGGCAGTCGGAGTAGAAACAGCAAAATAAATAGGTATTACAGAGGCTGAATGTCAAAGCTTGACACTGATTAAATGCAGGGTGTGAAAAAAAGAAAAAGTCAAGTGTGAAAAATATAGATAACAAACTGAGTGACATGGATAGAATGCAGAAATTCTTCTGATAAAATAAAAATAGTAGCTAAAATTTATTGAACAGTTACTATGTGCTAGGCACTGTGCTATGTGCTTTGCATGTATTCTCTCTTTAAATCCCAACCCAATAACCTGTTTTACTAATGAGAGACTAATCAAAATGCCAAGTAATTGATAATGCCAGGATTTGGAGTAAGCCCTATTTCTCTGTATTCTGTAAAACCAGAATTTCTCAAAGTGTGATTTAGGAGCTACATAAACCGAAAAGCATATGGAAGTGGTGGTTAAAATGTGTATTCCTGAGTTTCATCTCAAACCTGTCACTGAATCAGAAGCTCTGGGTGTGAATCCAAGGATTCTGCATGTTTAAAACACGCCAAGCAAGTCTGTTGTCAGCTAAATCTTTAGAAGTAGTGGATTTAATTAGATTTAGTAAACTTTTATGAAGCTTCTATAAGATTGCAGAATTTGGCCCAGGCGTGGGAGTTATAGGAATACACATAATTCCTTTCCCCAAGAACTATTGAATTAATAGGAAAAAACAAACCATCATAGCACACTGTAATAAGTACTTGAGTAGCTTTGGGATCTGGCAAACTAATCAAGGAACGAGTAACTCTGGACATGAGCAAATTTGAAGTGAGAAAGGAGACAGAGTCTGAAAAACCCACCAGGGAGCTGCAAATGTGGAACCACTGAGACAGGTCAGGATTGAATATAATGGTCATCCATGTAGAGATAAAAGTTGAAGGGTGCAGGCAGTAAGAATGCCAAGGATAAGATTTGAAAATAAGAGGATCAATAGATTGCAAAAAATTTCTTCCATTGTGTAGGTTGCCTGTTCACTCTGATTATAGCTTCTTTTGCTGTGCAGAAGCTCTTTAGTTTAATTAGATCCCATGTATTAATCTTGGATTTTGTTGCAATTGCTTTTGGTGTTTTAGTCATAAAGTCTTTGCCCGTGCCTAGGTTTTCTTTTAGGGTTTTTATTGTTTTAGGTCTTACGTTTAAGTCTTTAATCCGACTTGAATTAATTTTTGTATAAGATGTAAGGAAGGGGTCCAGTTTCAGTTTTCTGCATATGGCTAGCCAGTTTTCCCAAAACCACTTATTAAATAGGGGATCATTTCCCCATTGCTTGTTTTTGTCAGATTTGTCAAAGATCAGATGGTTGTAGATGTGGTGTTATTTCTGAAGCCTCTGTTTTAAAGTTCCATCTGTTTATATATCTGTTTTGGTACCAGTACCATGCTGTTTTGGTTACTGTAGCCTTGTAGTATAGTTTGAAGTCAGGTAGCATGATGCCTCCAGCTTTGTTCTTTTTTCTTAGGATTGTCTTGGCTATCCAGGTTTTTTTTGGTTCCATAAGAAATTAAAAGTAGTTTTTTTCTAATTCTTTGAAGAAAGCCAATGGTAGCTTGATGGGAATAGTATTAAATCTGTAATTACTTTGGGCAGTATGGCCATTTTTATGATATTGAGTCTTTCTATCCATGAGCATGGACTATTTTTCCATTTGTTTGTATCCTGTCTGATTTCCTTCAGCAGTGGTTGGTAGTTCTCCTTGAAGAGGTCCTTCACATCCTTTGTAAGTTGTATTCCTAGTTGTATTTTATTCTCTTTGTAGCATTTGTGAATCGGAGTTTGTTCATGATTTGGCTGTCTACTATTTGTGTATAGGAATGCTTGTGATTTTTCCACATTGATTTTGTATCCTGAGACTTTCCCGAAGTTGCTTATCAGCTTTAGGGGTTTTGGGGCTGAGATGAGATTTTCTAAATATATAATCATGTCATCTGCAAACAGAGATAATTTGACTCCTCTCTTCCTACTTATATACCCTTTATTTCTTTTTCTTGCCAGATTGTCCTGACCAGAACTTCCAATACTGTGTTGAACGGGAGTGGTGAGAGAGGGCCTCCTTGTCTTGTGCTGGTTTTCAAAGAGAATGCTTCCAGCTTTTGCCCATTCAGTATGATATTGGCTGTGGGTTTGTCATAAATAGATCTTATTATTTTGAGATATGTTCCATCAATACCTAGTTTATTGAGTGTTTTTAGCATGAAGGGGTGTTGAATTTTATCAAAGGCCTTTTCAGCATCTATTGAGATAATCATGTGGTTTTTGTTATTGGTTCTGTTTATGTGATGGATTATGCTTATTGATTTGCATATGTTGAACCAGCCTTGCATCCCAGGTATGAATTCAACTTGATCATGGTGGATAAGCTTTTTGATGTGCTGCTGGATTCAGTTTGCCAGTATTTTATTGAGGATTTTCACATCGATGTTCGTCAGGCATATTGGCCTGAAATTTTCTCTTTTTGTTGTATCTCTGCCAGGTTTTGGTATCAGGATGATGCTGGCCTCATAAAATGAGTTAGGGAGGAGTCCCTCTTTTTCTATTGTTTGGAATAGTTTCAGAGAGCTAATATCCAGAATCTACAAAGAACTTAAGCAAATTTACAAGAAAAAAAAACCCTCTCAAAAAGTGGGCGAAGTATATGAACAGACACTTTTCAAAAGAAGACATTTATGCAGCCAACAAACACATGAAGAAAAGCCCATCATCTCTGGTCATTACAGAAATGCAAATCAAAACTAAAATGAGATACTATCTCATGCCAGTTAGAATGGTGATCATTAAAAAGTCAGGAAACAACATATGCTGGAGAAGATGTGGAGAAATAGGGACACTTTTACACTGTTGGTGGGAGTGTAAATTAGTTCAACCATTGTTGAAGACAGTGTGGGGATTCTTCAAGGATCTAGAATTAGAAATACCATTTGACCCAGCAACCCAGCAATTCCATTACTGGGCATATACCCAAAGGATTATAAATCATTCTTCTATAAAGACATATGCACACGTATGTTTATTGCAGCAGTATTCACAATAGCAAAGACTTGGAACCAACCCAAATGTCCATCAATGTTAGACTGGATAAAAAAAATGTGGCACATATACACCATGGAATACTATGCCTCCGTAAAAAAGAATGAGTTCATGCCCTTTACAAGGACATGGATGAAGCTGGAAACCATCATTCTCACCAAACTAACCCAAGAACAGAAAACCAAACAGCGCATGTTCTCCTAAGTGGGAGTTGAACAAAGAGAACACATGAACACAGGGAGGGGAATATCACACAGTGGGGCCTGCTGGGGGTTGGGGGGCAAGGGGAGAGATAACATTAGGAGAAATACCTAATGTAGATGACATGTTGATGGGTGCAGCAAACCACCATGGCACATGTATACCTATGTAACAAACCACATTCTGCACATATATCCCAGAACTTAAAATATAATGAAAAATTAAATAATTAAAAACAAGAGGACCAGGAAGAAATCCTTGGAGATTACTTCTCATCTGACATTTTATTCTCCAAAGCCTAGTTCCCTGAATAAGCAAACCACCATAAGCAATTAAATTGCCCTTTTAAACGGCCAAGAACTTCAGATCACTTTATGAGTTTTCTTTGCCAAAGGAGAGTTTTGGAAGTCATTTGGTTAACATGTTACATTTCAAAGATGACTTTAAGAGGGAAATGTGACATCACTGAATGGCAAAGTTGTGTTTTAGATAGTTTCTTCCTAAAGTGTATGCTTTAACAATCTCATTACTCTGAGTTAGATACTTTTGCACTATGAAATCCTAGTAAACTATTAATTCTGTGGATAAATAAAAACCTAGCCCTGCTATCCTCACACACCACACTCACTATTCTGTGATGCCATTTAACTCTTCCATTAAAGTACTGTTACTGTGCCTGTGAATGCCAAGAAAAAAGAAGGATCAATTTAAATTGCCTAAAAATGCTAGAATGTATTTCCCTAGATCTAATGGGTAATGGCACTGACAGCTTCAAATATGTTTCATAAAGAGTTCGATATTACTGTTCTTGCCTACTAATATCCGGATTATTGAAGAATTAATAAGGAGGTATTACCTTTGAGAACAAGAAACATATCTTCTCCTTTCAAAGGGACAATAACAAGATAGTCTGCTGGGAAGCATCTTCAAAACATGAAAGAAGAGAATTTGGAGTCAGTGCCATTTTGCCTTCCATGTTTGCTTGATGTATAAAGCAAAGGCAAGATAGTCTCTTTTTTGGTTTGGAAAAAAGAGAAAAATGAATATTTCCTTGTTCAGGAATCATGAAGTGACTGCACAGGCCATTGAAATGCTTTGATAACTTGCATAGTATGTATTTTTAAATGTAGTTTGGTAGAAGAGAAATGCCACTGATTGAAATTCAGGAAGCTTGAGTTCTAGTATTGCTGCTGATATATATGAACTGTGTGATGCCGTAGAAATAAGCCATTTACCCTTAACTTTTTAGTACATAAAATATAAGGCATGGACTAGATATCTAAGACTCTTTATAGCTCCCAGTTGATTAATCAAATTAGCATTTACTCAGGGCTCATTACTTTAGGATATAAAGTAATAAATACTTAAGTAGGGTTCTCTTCTCAAAGTACTTACAGCCTACATTTCTGCCCCACCTGAAATTCAGGCTTACTAAGAAAGAAAAAATAACCAGACAGAAAACAACTCCTTAAGTAACTCATAACTTGACTTCTAAATTAATAAATTTATTTTTCTTTTCACAATGCAGAAAATTTGTACCAGCTTTAAAAATATGCATGCAATAGTAGAAAGAGTATTCATATTTCAGGTTACATTTTTGTTAAAGGCATGTCAACGAGTGCAAAAACATTCAAGGGCATAAGTATGGCTATAGAATATAGATGTTTATAGCTATATATATGTATGCATGATTCACAAAGTCTTGTGTTGATTAATGTGACTGCTTATGTTTGACATATGAACAGATATAAAATGTATATACAGAAACAAACAAGGTAAATATGAATGATAAGTATGAAAATATACCAGGGATATTTTAGAAGCTTCTGAGAAGCACATGTTTTTTAATCAGAATCAATGGATGGATTATAAGCTTTCTAACAAGCTTTCCTTTAATTGATGAATAATATGGTAAGTACAATTATGCAAATACTTTAGAGAATGAGAAGGTATAGAAAGGATTCTGTAAAACTGGAAGAATTACATAAAACATTTCCTCAAGCTTTTCTTTCCAACCCTTTCCAATGAGATTTTAAGCATAAGAGGATTTCAGTCTGAAATGCAAGGACAAAAATGTAAGATTACAGCAATTCTTAGTTAGCCTTACTTTTGGCCCTTGTAGTTCATGGATATAGAGGAGAGGAAGAAGTGTTTCCTTGAGGCTTGAAGAGTATTAGTCACAGGAGAAGATGTTTAGGGTTACAAATTATTTTGTGTCTGAGTTGACTGCCTTATCCCAAATGACAAAGGTGGCCATCTATAGCTTAATACACACATGTGCACATACATACAGGCACACACACACATACATATGCTGCATATGTTTATTTACAATATGCAAGGTCCTCTAAAGTGCAAGACCGATGGCAGGGATTTAAGAGTAGAAATCTTAATAGTCAATGAAAATCCCTAGACTTCTTTTGATTTGCCCTGCTGTTAAACATGCACTAGATTTCGCTATTTTGTAAAAGTCTAATGTATGCCTTTGTCATTTCCCATTAATACATTCCATTTTAAAGTTCGATGAGAGTTCTTCCCGACTAAAATAAACTTTTTGAAATAGAAATGTTTTATTCCGAATTACCACTATGAATTACACATGAATTTTATAATCATTCCTCCTTGGCTTTTAAATATTCAGCAAATGGTCAAAGACTGTTTTCATCGACTGGGCAGGAAACCATTCAAGTTTGTAGATGGCTCATGTGGTGAGATTTTATGAATCTAACCTGTCCGTTTCACACATACAAATGCTTTTTCCATGATTTTTGAAATCCTCACTTATAAAGCAGTGAAATTACTATGAACTCTCGTGTTATCTTCAGGTAGATAACTAAACACTCTTTTGGCCAAAATATAGGAATGAAAAGACAAATAGAGTCTCAAAGCTGGAATATAATCGATGCTGGAATTAGACTTTCACCAAGTAATCCTAAAAATACATCATAGTAAGTGTTGATTTGAAAGAAATACTGTCATTTCTCAATAAGGTGTTGAACTAATTACCCTTAAACTGCCTTTGAGTCACTTTCTGTGATTTTCATGAGATGGTAATGTTGGTATATATTGTTTTAAGCAATGCATTAATGCTTGCCAAATATTAAGTGAAAAAATAAAAAGCAAAGTGAAAATTTTATCTATTCTTTCAAGATCAACCTTATGTGAATTGTTCAAGCTGAATAGCATTGAACTACCCATACATACTTCCATGTTAGACTCAGAATTTTAAAACTGGAAAAAAAAAAGCCTGCAGATAATTTACTTTTTTTAGCAGCAGAAAATGTTCTGATAGAACTTTATATTAATGTGGAAGGTCAGTATATAGAAGAGATCAACATAACACTAATTTGCTGGAAAGTGTTAAAAAGTTGGGAAAGGCAATACAAGAACCACTCCACCTACAGTAACACTTGAAGGAATTCCACATAACTTGAAAACACAGATTACAGTTCAAACTTCTCAATTTACAAAGTAAGAAACTGAAGTCAAGAAAAGTTCAGTGACTTGACACAGTAATGTTTGAGTTTGCAAACATGAGAAGTTACAGAAGGTATTCTGGACCTTCTAGATCTTCAAAATAGGAAACCGAAATCCAGGACAGTTCAGTGACTTACTCTAAAGAGTCCGTGACTCTCTCTACAACACAGCCAGAGCTGGGAGTCAGAGCTCCTGTCTTTCATTTTTTTAATGCAGTGGCTTTTCCCAGGTCTTCCTGTGTTTGTTCTCCTTTCACCGAATTTGAGGTAGAAAACATTCTGTTGTTCTTTTCTCCACATGATCTCCCTGAAGGGTTTATATGCTTGTCACCAGCAACTACAGTTTCTCTGAATTGTTTTCAAGCCCCAGTGGACAAATATGATAAAAAGAAAAGGAAGGTAAATATGTTTATCAACTATTTATAACTCATGTGCTGTTTACACAAGCTCTTACAATTTCCAATGAATTCTCCTACTCCTTAAGGCTATCCTGGTGAGCCATCCCTGCAGGTAGGATATATATATATATATATATATATATATATATATATATATATATATATATATAATTTTATATATATATATATAATTTTATATATATATAATTTTATATATATAATAATATGAAATACATATTATACATAAAATAATATATACTTTATATATTATATAAAATATGTTATATATTTTATGTATTATATATTTTACATATATATATATATATATATATATATATATATATACCATTTTTGCTATTGAGGAATCTTTTTTTTATTAAACTGAGAAGTCATATATACTTGCGTGTCTGGAAATACATCTGTAATAACTGACCCTACCCTTCGTTGCCTTCAATTGTAAAATCATATTTGTTAATGGATTTCACTTTGCAAGTCTCAAGCTTTTACACAGACATATTGCTTTTTTTCAGCTCATCACAAAGCCTATAGAGATAGGAACCTATTGCTTTAATTACAGCAGAGAGATAATCTTTACCTCTCTGAGGCATAGTCCAGGTAACAGACGCCTGGAGTCTGCTTACCACTAAAGACTTTGTGACCTTGGGCAATGTACTTAACCTCTCTACGCCTTATTTTTCTCTTGTGAAAAATGAACATGGGACTAATACATAATTGAATACATGAATGGATAGATCTACTATTTTCTTTTGTGTTTTCCTTCGAGATGTGTGTGTGTGTGTGTGTGTGTGTGTGTATAGTTTATGTATTTAAAATTGTTTTTAATGTTATAATAATATGCCAGCCACTCTTAGCTTGCTCATTTATAATTAGGAAAATGACATTTCCCCACACTATTAAAGGCATATTTTTAAAATCTTTGTTTAAATAGCCTTTTTCTTTTGAGTTATGTTTTGAGAATACTGAGTCTCTATTTGTTGATGTTTTAAGCCTTTATTTTAGGTTCAGGGGTACATGTGCAGGTTTGTTATGTAGGTAAACTGCATCACAGGAGTTTGTTTTACAGGTTATTTCATCACCCAGGTTATAAGGACAGTACCCAATAGGTATTTTTTTTTTTCTGATCTTCTCCCTTCTCCCACCCTCCACTCAGAAAAAGGCCCAAGCGTCTGTGGTTCCGTTTTTTCTGTCCATGTGTTCTTGTTGTTTAGCTCCCGCTTATAAGTGAGAACATGTGGTATTTGGTTTTCTGTTTCTGCGTTAGTTTGCTAAGGATGATGGCCTTCGACTCCATCCACGTTGCTTTAGAGGACATGATCTCATTATTTTATGGCTGTGTAATACTCCATGGTTTGTGTGTGTGTGTGTGTGTGTGTGTGTGTGTGTGTGTATACATATATACACACACATATATATGCATATGTGTATATGTATGTGTGTGTATATATATACGTATATACATACATGTATAAAAAATGTGATATATGATAAAGAAAATGTGATATATATATACACATTCTTTTATATATGTATATATGATATATATATATACCTATTCTTTTGGATATATACTCAATGATGGGATTGCTAAGTCAAACGGCAATTCTCTTTTCAGCTCTTTGAGGAATCTTCATAATGGCTGAACTAATTTACATTTCCACCAGCAGGGTATAAGGATTTTCTTCTCTCCACAACCTCACCAGCACCTGTTATTTTTTGACTTTTTAATAATAGTCATTCTGATTAGTGTGAGATGGTATCTCATTGCGGTTTTGATTTGCATTTCTCTAATGATTAGTGATATTGAGCATTTTTTCATATTCTTGTTGACTGTATGTATGTCTTCTTTTGAACAGTGTCTTTTCAAGTCCTTTGCCTAGTTTTTAATGGGGTTGTTTAGTATTTTTTTTGTAAATTTAAGTTCATTATAGATTCTGGATATTATGCCTTTGTCAGATATTATGCCTTTGTCAAATATTTTATCCCATTCTGTAGGCTGTCTGTTCATTCTCTTGATAGTTTCTTTTCATGCAGAGGCTCTTTAGTTTAATTAGGTTCCATTTCTCAATTTTTGTTTCTATTGCAATTGTTTTTGGCTTCTTCATCCTGAAATCTTTGCCAGGTCCTATGTTTAGAATGGTATTTCCTAGCCTATCTTCCAAGGTTTTTAAATAGTTTTAGGTTTAATATTTAAGTCTTTAATCCATCTTGAGTTGATTTTTGTATATAGCTTCAGGAAGGGGTCCAGTTTCAATCTTCTGCATATGGCTAGGCAGTTATTCCAGGACCATTTATTAAATAGGGAGTCTTTTCCCCTTTGCTTGTCATGTTGTTTTGTAGTAGTAGTAACTGGTGGTAAGTATGCAGCATTATTTCTGGGCTCTCTATTCTATTTTATTTGTCTAAGTGTCTGCTTTTGTACCAGTACCATGCTGCTGTGGTTACTGTAGCCTTGTAGTATAGTTAGAAATTGGGTAATGTGATGCCTCCAGCTTCGTTCTTTCTGCTTAGGATTACCTTGGCTATTTAGGCTCTTTTTCTTTTTTGGTTCCATGTAAATTTTAAAATAGTTTTTTTTTCTAAGTCTGTGAAAAATATGATTAGTAGTTTGATAGAAATAGCATTGAGTCTATAAATTGCTTTGCGCAATGTACTAGTCAGGGTTCTCTAGAGGGACGAAATGAATAGGTCAGACGTATATATGAAAGGGAGTTAATTAAAAATAACTGACTCACATGATCACTAGGTGAAGTCCCACAATAGGCCATCTGCAAATTGAGGAGCAAGGAAACCAGCAGTGGCTCATTCCGAGTCCAGAAACCTCAAAAGTAGGGAAACCAACTTTGTAGCCTTCAGTCTGTGGCCAAAGGCCTGAGAGCGCCTGGCAAATTACTGGTGTAAGTTCAAGAGTGAAAAAGCTGAAAAACTTAGAGTCTGATGTTCAAGGGCAGGAAGCATCCAGCACAGGAGAAAGATGAAGGCCAGAAGACTCAGCAAGTCAGCTTCTTCCACCTTCTTCTGCCTGCTTTATCTAGCCACGCTGGCAGCAGAGTGGATGGTGCCCACCCCCATTGTGGATGGGTCTTCCTGAGGGTGGGTCTTCCTCTCCCAGTACACTGACTCAAATGTTAATTTCTTCTGTTAACACCCAGAAACACCCAGATACACCCGGAAACAATATTTTTTGCATCCTTCAATCCAATCAAGTTGACACTTATCCATCGTGGGCAATATGGCCATTTTAATGATACTGATTCTTCCTATCCGTGACCATGGAATGTTTTCCATTTTTTTGTGTCATATTTAATTTCTTTCAGCAGCGATTTGTAATTCTTGTTGTAGAGATCTTTCACCTTCCTGGTTAGGTGTATTCCTAGGAATTTTATTCTTTTTGTGGCAATTCTGAATGGGATTGTGTTCCTAATTTGACTCTCGGCCTGGATGTTGTTGGTATATAGGAATACTACTGATTTTTGTACATTGATTTTGTATCTTGAAACTTTGCTGAAGTTGTTTATCAGATCAAGGAGCTTTTGGACAGAGACGTTGGGGTTCTCTAAATATAGAATCATGTTATCCACAAATAGGGACAGCTTGAATTCTTCTCTTCCTATTTGGATACATTTTATTTTATCCTTCTACCCGATTGCTCCAGCCAGGACCTCCAGTACTATGTTGAATAGGAATGGCTTGGAAATTTTTTAAATGCAAAAAGGAAAAGAGATATATCTATACTTGCATAACCATTGAACACTTTCACCTTGGCATGTTTACTTCCAGAGGCAGTTTTCCAAAAAAACAAAAACTTTCAGACCAGGTATAGTGGCTTATGCCTGTAATTTCAGCACTTTAGGAGGCTGAGGCAGGAGGACTGCTTGAGCCCAGAAGTTCAAGACAAACTTGTGCAACATAGTAGATGCCATCTCTAAAACAAAATAAATACATTTGCCAAGCATGGTGGCGTGCGCCTGTAATCTCAGCTACTCAGGAGAGTGACATGGGAGGAGCACTTGAGCCTGGGAGGTCGAGGCTGCAGTGAGCCATGATTATACCATTGCACTCCAGCCTGGGCAATGGAGAGACATTGTGTCTAAATAAATAAATACATACATGTTCATGTTTTTATTCAAGGGCATAATTGATGAAGTCCCTGCTGAAAAAGAACATCTCTCATAGCAGATTTACCTTCTCATTCCTCCTCTCATTTGCCCACCTTTGGATCTTTAGTATCTAAAGTATTTGTTTCACCCTGTTCAGGTTTATAATGATGGAATTCTTTTCAGTAACCATTATTTCCATTGTGTTTACTTTTATTTCTATATATAACCATATTCAAAACATACCACCAATTATTTTACTACAATGCCTAACTGGGTGGCTGATGTTCTTAATTGCTTAGATTTTGTTGTTAGGTTTATTCTAGAAAGTGCTGTATTTCCTGAGCACTTTTCATAATTGACAAAGTGGATTTGTATATAAAAGATTCTGTATAATATTCTTGGGTAACATTACTCCATTGTATTCTGATATTGGATATTATCATATGGAAATCTGATTCCCTTTCACTTCTTGTAGATGTGTTTTGATTTTGGTTTTTCTTTCTGGATGTTCAAATAATTTACTCTTCATCTTATATCTTATATATCTTTACGCCTCATCTTGTATCTTAAATAAGATATATCTCTATCTTTTGAGATTTATGTACTCAGTTTCCCGGAAACACAGTCTTTCAATCTGAAAATTTATTTTCCCAGAAAAGTATCCTATTCTTTAACTTTGAATATATATTCTGTCCCATTTGTGGGCTTATGGCATCAGGAATGCCAGTTATTTTAATACTGCATCATCTTTCTTTGTACTCTTTTTTTTTGTACAAACTCAGCCCTAATTACTTTAATTCCTTCACCCTTCTCATTTACATTCACTCTGATGATATCGAGTCTGATACATGTTGGTAATTTGATATTTGGTGGCATCTATTATGAGACTTGTACTTTCTAATTTATGTATTAGTTATATAATGATGTTGTTTTGGTCCTTGATTCATTTCCTTAGGTCCACTAACTCCCTTTTCATTTAATTCTGTTGTTTTATCCTCCAGTCTTTGACCTCTAGCTCTATTGAATTTATTTTCATTTTAAATGAATCCATTGTGTGAAGCAACTTGAAAAATTTCTTTGTGTCTCTACCCTATATTTTCTTCTGGATTAAGTTCTTTGTTTCTTAAATTAAATCTCTCTCTTCTCTTCCTCCCTCCCCATCCCCCCTTTTTCTTTCACTCTTTTGCATTATTGTTGGCTGTATTATGTTTCTATATTTACTATGCCTGTCTTTTATCTTGATCATGTGGGAGTGGCACTGTCCAGACATTCTACTTGCTCTAATGTAGTATAGGTTACTTCTAGACTTACTTGTCATCCTTCTTGGGATCCCTTAAGCTCCAGTTTGAAGTCTGGATGTTTCACGTTTTGTGTACTTTTAAATAACCAGGCATGGTAGGGGAATGAGTTTAGTTGAAGCAGCATTCAAACTCATTTAGGATACCTAGCTTTGCTGGCTAGTACTGTCTCCTACTCTTGTTTGTGGGAGAAGGGGCTGTTCTCAAGTTTCCAATTAGCTGTTCATTTCATTGATGGTCCATAAGCCTTACCTTACTCAAACCAACCTCCATCCCCTGTGTGTCTCCTCAACAGTAATTGCAACTTCTTCTCAATCAGAAAAGGAAATGCCAGGCACGATGGCTCATGCCTAATCCCAGCACTTTGGGAGGCTGAGGTGCGAAGATCACTTGAGGTCAGGAGTTTGAGACCAGCTTGGCCAATGTGGCAAAACCGTGTCTCCACTAAAAATACAAAAATTAGTAGAGCGTGATGGTGTGCACCTGTAATCCCAGCTACTCGGAAGGCTGAGGCAGGAGAAGCACTTGAACCTGGGAGGTGGAGGTTGTAGTGAGCCGAGATCGAACCACTGCACTCCAGCCTGGGCAACAGAGCAAGACTCCATCTCAAACAAAATCAAAAACAAACAAACAAACAAAACAAAACAACAGAAAAGAAAAGGAAAACTTGGGGCTATTCATAATTTTGCATTCATTGATGTTCGGCGGTGTTAGTGAGAATTCTTAGACTTTCCCCCAAATTTCAGGAAAATTTCTGGGGTTTAAGGGAAGATAAGAAAGTAAATCCTTTTTCTGTTTTACTCCAGAAACACTTGTTTTGATTTTGTTGTTTTTATTTGCTATTGCTATGCTTTCTTTTCATTCTTTGACTGCTGTGGGTGATTTTTATGTGTCGATGTATATACTAGGATTTACTTTTTATTTCATTAGGAATTAAGAGAGGGAAATTCAGTTATGTGTTATAATCTACCATTCCCTCATAGAAAATCTACTAATAAGAAATGGGAAAAACAAATTTTCTATTATGTTTTAGTGTACTTCTGTAATGCAGTTAAAAAGACAGAGAAATAGTTCTCATGCATGACAGAAACATTTATTCTACGCTTTTAGAATAGCCACATCTTTTCCTCTCAAATACCAACAGGGAATACTAGAAAATATTTGACTGAGGAAAAATAATAGCTCTCAAATTTCTGTCAGTATGCATTGTTTGGGAACAGGATAATTTATTTTGGATATTTATTATTTGTGGCATCAAACAACACACATGATTTAACACTTAAATCTTGTTTTCCTTAACATGGTCTCATTTAGTTCACAGCTAAAACAGAAAATTCGACAAAGAAAGACGTTTATCAATTGTATATGTATGGATATATATTTGTGTGAGTCTATGTGTGTGCAGGACACTTTATTCTGTGTGATCATATATTTTATATAGAAGAAGAGTGGTCCCTCAGTATTTGTGGGGGATAGGATCTAGGTCTAGGATCTCCTGCAGATACCATAATCTGTGAATGCTCAAATTCCTGATATATAATGTTGTAATATTTGCATATAACCTACGTCAATCCTCCCATATATTTTAAATCATCTCTAGATTACTCATACTTAATGCAGTGTAAATGCTGTGTAAATAGTTATTAAGCTGCATTTACATATTTTATTTTTTATAGTTGTATTGTTATTTTTTTATCTGCAGTCGGTTGAATCCTTGACTGTAGAACCCACAGATATATATGAAGGACCAGCTATATAAAATCTTAATTCTCATTAGAGAATGTATAAAATTATCTCATATGAGAATATATATATAAATATAAATATGTGTGTATATGTAGGCTCACACACACACGCAAGCTTAATTGTTGGAGAGTTGCCAATAACTATCAAAAGCCATCAATAGCACATGAATTATTTCCAGCCACTATATTAACAAAAGCGTAGCAATAATGTCAGTAAGTATATAGAATTTGGACCCAGAGATAATCCTCCCATTATTATTATCACAGGCTTGAACCTCACAAAATTGTGCTCTCAGTTTGATCCTAGGCTCCACAATTAGAGAGATGGAAAGCTTAGTCTGGATTTAGAAAGAAGCAACTCTGATTACAGGAAGAGCTGGAACTAAGGAAGGGCAATGGGATTATTTGTCTGGCTAAAGAAAATTGTGTGGAGAGATCTAGAATCGTTTCCTAGCATATATGAAGGACACTAAATGTTCTTCATTCCCACAGCACATACAGCTGAATTTTTAGATAGAAGTGTTTCTCAGCAAATTGTGCTCACGAGAAGTATACTATTAGGGTTTGAAAATAAAATTCAAAGGTCTAACATTTTATTTCTCTAGGATTATTAAAATATTGTCATTGCCAATGATAGCAGAATAGCTTACTATTTGTCCTAATATTCTATAGGTGCAATTGGTATGAACTTTAGAATAAAAGAATCCCCTTATATCTTAAATGTTGTTCCCCGCTTAGATTTTCCAAAGCGATTACTCATCTGCAGCCAGAAGATGACTGATTGCCAAGGGATTTGCCGTTGAGGACTGAACTACACTTATGCCTGGTCATCTATAAATATTTATGAAGCACCTATCCCATGCTTGGCCTTGGGGACACAAAGATAAATAAGACAATCCATGTTCTTAAGGCGTTAGTAGCTTAGTGAATTCATATCCAGATTGATGCCACAATGGGATGAATTGCTGTAGAACCAACTGCTTTTCTGTCATGTGGTTTTCAGTAATAATATATTTACTTTCATTTGAGAAAACATGTATAAAAGTAAATATCCCACTTGGGCTTACACCTGTGTCAGGAAAAAAGTTAATACATATTCCAGAAATTGTCAGAGCACCCAAGCACATTCCCCTCATCATGGAAATAATCACTGCCAGATGAGATTGAAACATCTTTTGGAATAGAAAATGCTTAGAATGAAATCCATACCTTGAAATCCATTTTTCTAGTACAGTAGAAGGGCCATTCATTATTAATAGAATGTAACTTAAGTATGCTTTTATTTCCAACGTGTAATACATTCTACTCTCTTAAGGCTAGAAACCAACTTAACCTAAATGTTTAGACAGTATAGTCAGGTATGTGTGAGAGACACTCGTATGGAGAATCAAATGCAAATCTCAACAACCAATCCTATGAGAGAGTACAGATATGTAGGTAGGAGAAAGTAAACTAGAGAGAAATATTAAGCAGACTTCAAGTCACTTGTCACGTAAGAAAAGGCCGGGAGAGAAGCTCTGAATAGGACAGAAGATGCATCATCACAGCACCTTCCTTAAAAAAGAGGGGAAGGAAGGAGTATGCATTTAAAGATCAAGTTAGCCAAATACAAGTTACTTTGGCAACAAAAGTTGGTGCAGGAAGAATAGAAACTATCGGGTTGCATTTCTCATCTCACACTTGACAAGTCTCTTAGAAATACCGTTACCTAGAATGAGAATTTTGTTAAGGTATGTTTAACATGGAAGCTTGTATTTATAAAGAATATTTTTCCTCTTAGGTGTATTAGTCCATTCTCACACTGCTATAAAGGTACTACCTGAGACTGAGTAACTTATAAAGAAAAGAATGTTTAATTGACTCAGTTCTGCATGGCTGGGGAAGCCTTTGGAATCTCACAATCACGGCGAAAGGCAAAGGGGAAGTTAGATACATGTCTTCACAAAGCGGCAGGAGACAGGAAGTGCCACAGTTTAAAACCATCAGCTCTCCTGAGAACTCACTATCATGAGAACAGCATGGGGGAACTGCCCCTATGATCCAGTCATCTCCCACCAGATCCCTTTCTCAACACACGGGGATTACAATTCGAGATGAGATTTGGGTGGGCACACAGAGCTAAACCACACCAATATGTTATCTCCAAACCTGCATTCAATGCCAGATGGCTTCCTTCGTAGTAATCTGAATGTGGTTGCATGTGAAACAATGGCTCCTTAAAGTGAAATTATCTGTTTATACTATTTTGATACTGCACTTGAAATAACCCATTTGTTTTGGATTTAGAGGTAGCCCAATTTGGCAGCAAACTCATCCTAGACATTTGGTGTGATTAGTCTTTTCAAATATATGCATTCCAGAGAAGATTAATGGCCTTATTATGTCCAGTATTTCAACAAAAATGAACAAATGAAGTCCAAAGGCACATGGCTCCAGGGAAACTAGCTGGCTTTCCACTGTTCTCAGGGCAGAATCACAGCCACTCAAAGATTATGGTTATTTTTTTTTCTCCTAATAAAATCTGTTCATCAATCTGGTTTTTTACTCAGTTTGTGTTGTTCAGTCACCAGAGTGGTTTGTGCTGCCTATTGTTAATTTAAACCAACTGCATGGTTTTAAAAATGCATTCTTTGTCATTTCAAAGAGCTGTGGTAATTCTTTGGAATATAGTGTTTTCAAAGTTCAGATAATGCAGAGAATACTATATATATTACAGTGATATTTTAAAATTGACCCATATTTATTACATACCTAAGTAACTGGAAAAGAATAGCTGAATAGCTAAGTAACTTCTAAAAGTAAAAAAAAAAAAAAAAAAAAAAAAGCAAGTCTTCACCTATATGGGGTGTTGCTGAAAATACTTATGGGCATTTATTATGCGAAATAAAACCCATAATACTATTTAAGCTGTTGATGATGACTTTGTTTGGAGCTCAAATCACAGAAGAAATTTCATTGTACAGAATTCAAATGGGTAGTCATGGCATAGAAACGTTTAAAAAGAAAAACAGATAAATTTAAAGAAAACTTTTACCCAAATTTAAGGTTTGCCTGTACAACTCTTAACAATTGCAGTCTGGAAGTCTCCCTTATGTATTATACCTTTCTAAATATGATAAACACTTTTAAAAAACAGAATTATATTTTTTCTACATTTCTATCACTTATTAGTTTTGGTTGGGATTCCTTGTCTCAGCCCCCCATAAAAATGATTCTTTATGTATATACTAGAAGTACTTGCAAAGGTCCTAGGAAACCCAGATCTGATGGAAATGTGGACAATTTATTTCTGGCCATGGATTTTATTTTATTCCAGAGAAGGAAAGTACAACTGAAATCAATATCTTGCCTGAAATTCTTGAAACATTGTACATGTGTATGAAGCTTTTCTCTGAAATGGACTAATACTATGTAAATGGAACAATTTGATAAACTTAAAAATTCATGGTACTTTTATTAGTCATTAGGAAATTGCTGCCAACCAAAAAGCCTAAAGTAGTGAAATGAGTCCTTCCACAGAAGTGGGAGAAAGCGTAATGTGCAAAGGGATTTAAAAAACAAACAAACATATGCTTCAGGCTCCATCTTTAAGAACCTTAATCTGGTTGGTAAATAGTGATATATGTGAAAGATAACTTATATAATAAGTAGTGTAAAAGTTGACCACAGAGATAGACCACTGCAAGAAGCAGAAGAAAGCTACTCTCAGCTTCATGGAACGTTATGGAAAAGGGATATGTGAGCTGCTTCTTGGAGAATAAATAGAACATATAACATCTGAGGAATGCAATTCCAGACAGAAATCCATGGCCAGAAATGTGCTGAAGAAATATATCCATGGCCATTGATGAATCATATTCACTCTTTAGTCAGTTTTTCTATCTGTAAAATAAAACAATTATATTAAATCATCCTAAAGAGCCATTTTAACTATTATATCCTGTTTTAATAGCAAGTAGAATTAGTTTAAGTAGATTAAATGATTTCTACAGAAAAGGAATGAGAAAAAATAAGATTTGAGCAGGGAAGTTTTTAACCTCTGAGTTATTAAATATAAAGTTACAAGCTTGGTCTTTATTCTGTGGACATTGAAAGCTCATTGACAACATTTTGAGAACAGAAGTGGTATAATGAAAGTTTTCTCATAATTTTTTAAAATGGTACTTCCCATTACCCTTTAATTAGAGATGACTTTATCAATTTGTGTTGAGAATATAGGACTCCAGAGCTGTGAATAGTATAACATGATTATACTTTGATCCTAAATTCTAGGAAGCAATCCCAAAATGGGACAAATAGATCCCAGATCCTAGTCTGATCATCACTGAGAAAAAAACAGAGATCAAAAAAGGGAAAATTGGGTAAACTTTATTTGTCTGCTGCCTTGCAGAATAGTGTAATCATCAAAAATATATTCAGTTACATATTGATTTCATGTTAGCCTGATAGAGCCACTTCCACTGAGAAGTCACATACTAGTGTCAAGATAAAGCACATGCACAAATAAATACAGTGCAGAAGAAACCAAGTCTTAAAATAAATACCACAGGGTTTCCAAAAGGAGAGAAAATTTTTCAAGAAAAAATCAGGACATCCTTCTTGGAGAAGTAGCCTCATGAAGGATAGGTAGGGTGTCTGTATTAGTCCATTCTCATGCTGCTGATAAATACATACCTGAGACTGGGCAATTTATAAAGGAAAGAGGTTTAATTGACTCACAGTTCAGCATGGCTGGGGAGGCCTCAGGAAACTTACAGTCTTGGTGGAAGGGGAGGCAAACATGTCTTTGTTCACATGGTGGCAGCAAGGAGAAGTGTGGAGCCAAAGGGGGAAAAGCCTCTTATAAAACCATCAGATCTTGTGAGAACTCGCTCACTATCATGAGAACAGCACGAGGGTAACTGTCTCCATGATTAAATTACCTCCTACTGGTTCCCTCCCATGACATGTGAAGATTATGGGAACTATAATTCAAGATGAGATTTGGGTGGAGACGTAGCCAAACTGTATCAGTGTATATATTATAGAGTGAAACAGTAAACATTTCAGGGTGAGAAAATAGAATTTACAAAGACTTAGAATTAGAAAAGGGTCATTTGTTTCATTGAGCCATGGGGTATATGTAAGTCACGTGTGGATGATAAGTTTAACAAGTAAGCAGTAATTTGGTCATGTATTATTTAAAAGAAAGGCAGAAGAGCTTTAACCTAATTCCTAATCCAACCCAAGCCTGTATGTTTAGACCTTTTTAAGACCCTCTCCCATGTTATGTAAGTATTTTAATTCCTTTTGCTCAGCGAACTTGGAAGATATGCTTTAATATTTCTGAAAAGTATTCTAAAATAATCAATACCCGTTATTTTCTCTAAATAGTCATGGTACCTCATTCTTCACTCTTTATTTTTTCTTATCATTAATTGACTTTTTTATGACAAGAAAATAATATTATTTTGTAGATATATCATTTCCATGGCATTATCCGAACTTCTTCTACTCATCTTCTACCAATATTGCCACAGCAAAGGATGAAAATATGCATTTTGTTGCTTGAGTTTTTTATTGGCATCAGTAGCAAATCTTTGTTGAGCATGTACTAAGGATGAGGCATTGTACTAGGCATTGAGATATGGAGAAAAATCCTTAGCCCTTGTCTTTATGATATAGTCCACTGATGACTGATAACACTGCCTAATAGACAGTATATTTCAGAAAACATGAGACTTAGACTCATTTTTTTTTTTTAAGACAGAGCCTTGCTCTGTCACCCAGGCTGGAGAGCAGTGGCACAATAGCGGCTCACTGCAAACTCTACCTCCCAGATTCAAGCGATTCTCATGCCTCAGCCTCCCAAATACCTGGGATTACAGGCATGTGCCACCACACCTGGCTTATTTTTATTTGTTGCTGTTGTTGTTGTTGTTGTTGCTGCTGTTTAGTAGAGATGGGGTTTCACTATGTTGGCCAGGCTGGTCTTGAACTCCTGGCCTCTAGGGATCTGCCCACCTCTGCTTCCCAAAGTGTGGCTGAGCCACAGTACCTGGTTAGACTTAGACTCATTTCTGATTCACAATATTGCTGTTTGGTACTTCAACTCCCCATTTAAGTGAGAAAAGTTATTTTTTCCCTTGCCTGCTGTCTGATATACTGTGAAAGTTAGAGAATCTGAATAGAAATAAAGATATCAAGATAGCCAGAGAAGACAAGGTGTCCAGTGTGATGACGGAAGCCTAAGAAATATGAGAAAATTACAAAATATAGATTAGAACTCACATATACGTTTGTAATCAGGAAATAATTGTTGAGGCATCCCTGTGGTACTTAACAATATTACAACTATAATAATACGGCTAAATCAGATTATTTTCCCCTTGGTTAATCAGAAATCACTCTATTTTATTAATCAATGTAAGAGAAGGTTTTAGGGATTCACTACGTGATCAGCTTTGCTTTATTTAGTTCCATTGAGAGATAATAAACAGGAAAATGAGTCCTACAACCCCAAGTTGGAAAAACAGTGAATCTGTGTGAAACTGTTAGAAAACAGCAATCACTTAAACTCAATCATTTGTTTTTTGAGAAATTCTGTTATGTAGAGCACACTATTTTTGACATTGAGAATATAGAAAACTACTCTAATTGGAGAATAAGGAAATAACAAAATTGAAAAAAAGCAAGAGGCTACATACATACACATAAACAGACATACCACATTTATGTATTTTAGTATAGTTACATACAATAATTATGTTTGCTACCAGTGATGTATTGTAATATATTTTTGCATTTATTTTATTTATCATGCAATTATGCACTGTTATTTGCAAACATTAACTGTCATTATTCTCAATTCTTATCTCGAGGTTATAGATGAGGATAGTAACAGAGGCACTCGCAGTGAGAGAAGGACTTGAGATTTAAATCCAGCCCAATCTGGCTCCATTATTTGGGCTCTTGAAACTTCTCTTTTCTCTTCTTCAATATAAATTTGGTGTTCTCTTCTCTCCCTTTCTCTTCTCCCTCTATATTCCTAATCCTTTCTATTCCTACTCTCTCTTTCTCTCTCTGTGTGTGTGTTTGTATACATACGTAAACGTATATATTTAAATTTTAGTCTCAACCCAGTCAATTGATTTCAAGTTCTAATGGATGTGACCCAAATTTTGAAAAACTCTAATGTAGACATAATGATTTCAGAAACAGAAAGGATGGATAGATTCAGGTAACTTTTATGGTACCAGGAAAGAAGAACTTAAATAATAAAGGGAAAGGAGGGTTAGAAAGGTGATTTTATTTAATGACTCTAATTGCTTATCACAATTATCTCTCAGGCTCTGGAAGTATTATTGCAGTATCTTTCTGCCAGAAGTTTCAAGTGGCAAAAGAGACAGTTATAGCAAATCACTTTAGTACATAGGCAGGGAATCAGACTGTCTGGCTTCATAATTTACAAGCTGTGTAATTTGGGGAAAGTTATTTAAACACCTTGTACTTCAATCTCTCCATTTGTAAAGTGGGGATAATAGAACCTGCTTCAGGTAGTGGGAGAGATAATAATAAATATAAAGGGCTTAGGATAATAAACTCTGCATTGTCAGCTCTCAATAAATGTTTGGCATTGGGTATTAAATGAACCCTTGACCAAAGTCTTTGGGAAAACAGACAGCAGAATGGAACTGTTTCCATATATTCAACTAATACTTCTGCTCAGAGGTATTCAAGTAATATTTCTGATATCTTTTGGTTTATTGTCAGTGAATTTGACTAAGGAATCAAAAAAGCCTTATACTAATATCATCAATAATTAATAAATAATTTTAGCCAAGTTGTTTAGAGGTCCAAATATTATTTAGTTACTAATCAGGGAAATAATAAAGAAAGAGAGAGATCATTCAGTAGGAAAAATCAGGACTTAAATCCTGAGAGTTTTTACCAGCTCTTTTATTTTTCTAGAAGGCAATGGCCATCAAAGATTGGACATTAGCTTTGGTGTCAGGAGAAAGTTTTTCTGATGGCTGTTAGAAAGAGCAAAATACAGCAGCTACTTAGGCAAAAAATTAGCACTCATCACTCACTGAGCATAACAAAAATGACAAAAACACAGTCTACCTTTGGTAATGGCTACTAAAAATACCTATCCATTTTCTATGTGAAACAGATCACGGCTGCTACTTCACTGTGAATTTAATCTGGCTTCTCAGTCAATATAATATTTAAATCTGATGTCACTCTTAAGTTTCCCCACAGAAGAGAATAAACATTAATTTTTAGAATTTCTTTCTCCTAGGCAAGGTTTTGTGGGCTAAGCCTGAGCCAAGTCATTAGCAAAGATGTGTTATATTTATAATTTTCATTCAATTGCAAATTTCCATCATAGAGTAACTAGTGTTACGATAATTAAGAAATGGAATTAAATTAGTATATCACATGCCATGCTGTGAAAATTATAATACAGTATAGTAATACACTACAGTAGATAATTGCTAAGACAATAAGAATGTGGCCACAGTAAAGATGATATAGGCATTGTGTAGTTCCCTATCACCATAGCCAGTTTCAACAGAAAATGAGTCCATCACATTAATCCTAATGAAACTCTAGAATTACAGGACAACTGAGCTTTCTTATCTTATCCTCTGGGTTGTCTCAGTTCCACCAGCTTCCCTTTCTTTACTTTATCAGAATAGTTTCCAAAGACTTATGTACTTTTCAGTGTGTAAGTCAATTGGGTACATAACACATGGATATTCAGAATGTTTATTATGTATGTTTTTTTTTTCCAAAAAGTGTTTCCTTTTTTCTTTCCTTGTGGCAGAACACCACTAACTGCAACTGTTTAACTGCATTTGGGGGAACAAAAGATTTGTTTTATAATAGTTCCTGTATAATAAGCTAAGAGCTTAGGGAATGATTTGAATTATAAATATTTTCTATCCCAGAGCAGTGTTTTAAACTCAGTGAAGACCTCAGCAGCATGCAAGTTCACATCCCCACCCACTCACTCACTTTTTTTTTTCTGTCTTTGCAGTTCCGCCATGGTTTTTAAATCATCCTTCCAACCTGTATGCCTATGAAAGCATGGATATTGAGTTTGAATGTACAGTCTCTGGAAAGCCTGTGCCCACTGTGAATTGGATGAAGAATGGAGATGTGGTCATTCCTAGTGATTATTTTCAGATAGTGGTAATTATTTTGTTTCATATTTGTTTTATAATCCCATTCATTGTTTTCTATTTTTTTCACTTGTTTTTATTTCTTGAAAAAAAAAAAGGTTCCTGTTGGAGATTTTTTGTGATGTGTTAAAAAAGTTATTCAAATAAAGCAAATGATTTTCTAGACATAAGAATATTTGAACTGAGAAAGAGTGATCAAAGAATTCAGCCCCCTGGTTTTACAGACAAGACTTTAAAACATACAAACAAACAAAAATAAATGAAATACAGACAGCCTAAGTATTTCTGAGTAGTTTCACAGTTTCACTGCTGGTTTATCAAAGAGAGTTTAGAACCTAGTTCTAGACTTAAGCCAAGAATCCCTTACTTCTTTGACTTTTACCCATTTTAATACAGTTTTATAAGATATGATACTTATGATTATGGAAGTCTTCACTTGGTAATACAGACAGCTTTTTTTTCCTACCCTGCCCTGTAGGACCAGCTTATCCTACATGAGCCATTGAGAAAGGCAGTGGTGATGTGGTAATGAGGACAGTGGGTGCTGGTGGCATTGGTGGCTGCAGTCATAGGCCATGAAGAACCAGAGTACACATTGCTTTGTAATTTCCAATACTGGAATGAATTGAAGCTAAGAGGAATAACTTCTATGGTTTACTATAAGTTTTAGTTCATTTTCTATCCCTATTGTGGGAGATAATAGGGATAGTGGTACTCTATTCACTGAGTTGTTGGCCTGGTACACATGGAGTGCTCAATACCTTCCATTATTGTAGCTTTTGCTGTTACTGGCAGAATGCTTGTCTCATTTGGAAATGCTCTATGAAATCTCACTTATAGGTATAGGTTAGCATTGGAGGTTCTGATTTTAGGTATATGAATATATGAGAGCGATGTAAAGTTCTTTTCAAATAACAAAGAACTTGCAGCTACAGAAGAGGGTTTTAGGCCTACTTATGTTTGAGATGCAGACATGACACTTTCAAAGAGCTGTAATCTAGCCAGGTCTCCTGGGCAGAATGAGACTAGAGCATAGTCATCCTATGAGTCCAGACACAAGCTCTCTCCATCGTATTACAATGGCCTTTGTTGCAAAGTGCCTCTTCCACAATCAGTCGACTTTCAGAAACTTTCATAATATCTGTGTGCATGCATGTTGGCCTACTATAAAGGTTCTTAAGGAATACATCCATAAAGGACATTTTATCACTTTTATTACCACTTATTATTTTTCACTTTTAGTTGCATTTGTTTAATTGGTTAGAAATAGAGTAAGAAAGATAAAATTTTAACTTTTAAATGCCACAGTGATCCATTATTTCCTTTAAAGGCGATGTTATTTCCACTACCACTGAATTAAAAATGATCTGCCAATGGGCACTTTAAAAAGTGTTGTATACGCCTAAAATATATGCTACTTACACTTAAAGGACATTTTTCAGTGCCCTTAAGGACGTATTGTAAAAGGCAACATTTATTTTTTTCTACATTTTGAATATAATCTTTCTCCCAGCATGACTCATTACAGCCAACCAATTTAAATTCTTCTTTTATAGGTGAAAGAAAATGTAAGGTATTGCCCGATTTGCATTAAATTGTGCTTAAAAATATTTCCTCAACAGCTCCAGAAATTTGAGAGCCATTTTCTGTCACACACTTAACATTGAGCACAAATAGTAAGTTATATGAAAATTCTTAATTAGAAGTTAGCCAGTTTTATCAAAGAATTTTACATCAGCTAGGAATTGATTACAAGACACTAAAAACAATTAAGAATTCCCCATGAGGTAATATTTATCTCTTAATGACTTCAGGGGAGGTGATTTAACACGTTTCACTTACTTAACTAATTCTTACACTAATATCGAAGATAAACTGAATTAGTATAATTAAATGCTATCTCTAGATCATTTTATCATCCATCCTTGAAAAAGATGGTGGCTCAATTTCTAAATAAAAGGAGTTAATGTTGCTGTATTTAATCTATAAAGGTGAAACATTTCAGCCATACAATAAGAACCACATGGGTGTAAAATATTCACCATACTCCCCTCTCCAAACCCCAAAAGCTTATATGTCAAAGCCATCACAATATTTAAAGAATTTTTAGATATTTTTCTGGGCAAACGCTTCCAGAAAATATCCAACTTTGATTTCTTGTCCTTTAGAATTCACAAATACCAGTATTTATACCCTTTCTTTTTTTTCCTGAGCAGCTACTAAACCTGAACTTCCTTCAATAACAAGTAAAAGAATGAGATTTCTTTTCATGGTAATCTTTGTTGCTTCTATAATTAATAAAATACTTGTCTGTTGACTGCTCATTTAGGTATTGAGGATGGTGCATATTTTTGTCAGCATATTATTTAATGCAGATCTAGGTTAAACTGATGCCTGTGAATTCAGAAAAGAAAATTGGGAAGGTATGACTTTTCCCAGGTGGCATAGGACACGTCTGCGAGGCTGAGACCCCTCATGGCCTCTCCTCTTGTTTCTTCTGTGCTGTTTTATCAAACTTTGGTCTCATCTAAGTTCATTTTGTCACCTTGCATTTTTTGCTTTCTAAAATACTTTACCTGCTTTTTCTTTTCCCTAGGGAGGAAGCAACTTACGGATACTTGGGGTGGTGAAGTCAGATGAAGGCTTTTATCAATGTGTGGCTGAAAATGAGGCTGGAAATGCCCAGACCAGTGCACAGCTCATTGTCCCTAAGCCTGGTAAGACAATGGGAACCTTGCTTTGGTACCTGGAATGAAAATTATTCATAGTCTGTTGGTAAAATCCATATTGTTTTTCCTACCCCTCAAGGGCAATATGGCAATATGAAATCATTTAGTTAATTAAGGTGTATACTTGTGTATTGATGACATTTTCCCTCTAGAAAATTGTGTGTGTACATGTGTGTATATATATATATATATATATATATATATATATATATATATATATGTGCATGTGTGTATGTGTGTGTTTGTGTATATATATATATATATAAAATCTCCAATGAGATAAAGTCATCATGAATAATAGGGCCTCTGCTTTTCAAGGCAATAACCACTAAATTATTACCTTCTCCCTCTTTTGTGGCCTGCCTTTCTTCCCAGCATTCCATTTAAATATAAAATATATAATATATACCTTGCATATATGTTAGGTGTATATTTTAGTTATATATGTGCATATATACGTACACACATATCTATAAATATATATACATAAGGACTGTACATATTTTCTTATATGTAATCTTGAATCAATGGAAGTTAATTAGTGTATTAGTCTGTTCTCCACTGCTATAGAGAAATATCTGAGACTGGGTAATTTATAAAGAAAAGAGGTTTAATTGGCTCATGGTTCCACAGGCTGTATAGGAAGCATGATGCTGGCCATCTGCTGGGCTTCTGGGGAGGCCTCAGGAAACTTGAGATTATGGCGGAAGGCGAAGGGGCAGCAAGTGCATCTTATGTGGCTGGTGCAGGAGAAACAGAGAAAGAGGGGGAAGTGCTACACACTTTTAAACAACCAGATCTCATGAGAACTCAGTCACTATCAGGAGAACACTACCAGCAGGGAAATCTGCCCCTGTGATCTAATCACCCCCAACCAGGCCCCACCTCCAACACTGGGGATTGCAATTAGACATGAGAGTTTGGTGGGGACACAGATTCAGACCATATCAAAAGGATCTTGAAAAATTACTCTTTTTAATTATAATTGCAAAAAATGTCATTTTGTTTTATAGTCTTTTGGAAGCTTAATATATTGCTGAATTACAGAATTCTAGTATAAGTCCGGGCACAGTGGCTCATGCCTGTAATTCCAGCTTTTTGGGAGGCCAAGGGGTGAGGATGGCTTGAGACCAGGAATTTGAGACCAATCTGGACAACATGGCAAGACTTTGTCTCTACTGAAAATAAAAAAAATATATATTTAAAAACAGGCAGCCACCTGTAGTCCAGCTACTTGGGAGGCTGAAGCAGAACAATCGTTTGAGCCCAGGGTGTTGAGGCTGCAGTGAGCTATGATCACACTACTGCACTACAACCTGGGCAACAGAGCAAGACTCTGTCACAAAAAACACAACAAAACAAAAACTAGAATAAATTGATACTAGACCTGTCATGTAACAGCTCTATAACAACACAATTTCTTGGGAGGAGAGACAAAAATAAAAACAAAAGAACCATCCTGCTGCTCTGAAATGATTAAAGAAGTTTAAAACAGGGACAAGACAGTTGTTAATACAGATCCAAATACTTCAAAATGTTAATATCTCCCATAAAGAGTTATCTATCATGTTACATACATTTCAACTCTTTTGGACCAGTTTTCTTCCTTTTGACATGGCTCGCTTTTGTGTTAATCTTTTCCTGAAGTAAGTTTAATAGAAAGTAGGAAAAGCATATAAGACATAGTCTTTCTCTGGCTTTTATCATTTAAAATGTGCCTATTAAGTCCTTATATTGTATGCACCCCAGCCAGTTAGCTGAAGATTCACAGCAGTGCTCACAAAGATGACTTTCTCCTATTTCCTTGATTGAAATAAAAATAAAATAACTATAGAACAACAATACCAGATGAGTCAAGAAGCTAAAGGAACTATGTAGGAATTAAAAGGAGCAATTAACTCTGGCTCAAGATCACCAGTTTCTCTGATGGACTTCTTTTCCCTCCATTTGATGTGCTTAAGTGTCAGTGTAACTTCATTGGTGTGACTAAGTATATTATTTTCTGCTGAACTAGTAATGCATAAGTAGGAGAAAAGGAACCTTTAAAATCAGGGTCTCTAATGTGAGCCACACTTTTTTTCTTTTAATTTTATTATTATTATACTTTAAGTTTTAGGGTACATGTGCATAATGTGCCGGTTAGTTACATATGTATACATGTGCCATGCTGGTGTGCTGCACCCATTAACTCGTCATTTAGCATTAGATGTATCTCCTAATGCTATCCCTCTCCCTCCCCCCACCCCACAAACTGTACCATATCATTAGTAACAAAAGTATGGGTGCCTTTAAGCTGATATTGGCTGCTACGCCAGTCACAGAACAGGAGAATTGTAGGTGAGTTTGATTTTTCAGCTAAGGCCATAAAGCTGATGACAATGCAAGATAAGTGACTTCGTGTTTCTAAAGGAGGTGTAAGATGTATCCTCCTAGCACTTGGCACTGACCAAAGAAGTCCAGTGAGCATCCCTGTACCTGCTCACAGGGAGGGAGGATTCTTTGAAGTGCTAGAATTCATAGGATGAGAGGTTGTCATGGTATTTTCTCTCCTGTACCAGCCAAGTTATACAGACTCCAAGAAAACCTTTTAGACTGTGTGTGTGTGTGTGTGTGTGTGTGTATGTGTATGTGTGTGTGTGTTGCTGGGGACTGATTGCAAAAATGGGAAATGGGCAACTTTATTCTGCTATTTCATGGTCTATACAAACCTGCCCCCAGTGTCTGAGGAAGCTGAGAGACCAAAGAAAGAGGCTGACAAATCTAGTTTCTTAGAAATACTTAATAGGGACTTATGAACAGGAGCCATATCTGTGTCTCTGGCAGTGCTGAGACAACATGGTGGCATGGGGATGCCACTAGCCCCCAGACCGAGGGCTTATATACCATGGGGAGAAGTGGTTTTGAAGGGAAGTGTGAGATGATGGAAGTACAGTAACACCAAAGTTTTCTGACCTAATGGCAGGATTTATGGTAAGTACCTGCTGTTACACAAGGAAAATTGATAAACAGGAAATCTTAGAGGCCTTCCCAGAAGAGGGGTTAATCAGAAGCCAACAAACATGGTGGATTAGCTTCCAAGATGGAGTTGCTTTCGCCTCCACACTGGCTGGAAACCACCTGGAGCTGTCCACAATGCAGGGAAGAGAAAGGAGAGGACAACATTAAGAAGAAGCTCTATTTCGACCCTTGAGAAGAACAAGGGTGTCAGTTCCACTTGAAGAAGGCAAGGCTGAAGGTTTCTTGAAAGGACTTTTCCCAAGAGGTCCTGTCTGCTGAGGCTGTGCCAACCAAGACACTAGAGTGATGGCGCCTGGATGGAGCTGAGCTAGGAGGGTGGCGCAGGTCAGCCAGAGAGTGCTTTGCCAACTCCAGCAGGGGTCCAGTGACTGCATTTCTAAGGTGGGGATTTTCTGAAGAACTCACAGAACTGCTCCACAAAAACAAAAAAAAAAAAAAAGAAGCTTGCAGAAACCTTCCATGAGTGTGGACTTTTGAAAGGACAAGCTGAGAAAAACAGTCTTTGTCTCTTTATTCCAAATCCATCCTCCCCTCTCTGACCCTGAGGAAGCCCTAAATAGAAGGGAGAAGCGACCTGAGAGACTGAAACACAGATGATAGGCAGTCCTACTGCCCCCTTCCCTATTTACAATCTACACTTGCTTTGAGAGATGGAAAGAAATTTTAAATTATTAGTTGAATATTTTAATTTAGATCTCATTGAGGTGTTTGTGTGTTGTGGGGTTGGGGGGGGTTGTTATTGTGTGGAGTTCTGTTTGTTTTGTTTTTGAATACCTGAAGATAAAGCTTTTTTTTTTTTTTGAGACAGAATCTCACTCTGTCTCCCATGCTGGAGTGCAATGGCACAATCCTGGCTCACTGCAACCTCCGCCTCCCAGGTTCAAGTGATTCTCCTGTCTCAGCCTCCTGAGTAGCTGGGATTACAGGCATCCACCACCAAGCCCAGCTAATTTTATTTGTTTATTTATTTATTGGTATTTTTTAATAGAGACAGGGTTTCACCAGATTAGCCAGGCTGGTCTCGAACTCCTGACCTCAGGTGATCCACCTGTCTCGGCCTCACAAAGTGCTGGGATTACAGGCCTGAGCCACTGCACCCAGCCAATAAGGGCTTTTAAATACTTACCTCACCCCAGGGCCAGAGGATGGACCCAAGTTACAATCAGGGTTGGGAAGACAGAGCTGACAGTGTGTGTTTGAAGACGGATGACAGCAGAAAAATAAAAAGCTATTTCCTTCTAATTTCCAATAGTTGAGCTTATTCAGTCAACCCATTATAGATGTTCAATTTCACTTCTCCCAGGAACTCTACAGGTAGCCTTTAATTCATGGTATCTTGCATTCCACTTGGGCCCTGATTTGTTTAGGTCTATGTGACCATAAAGTGTCAAGGCTCTCCTGAGCAGAAATGGCGTTTAACTCCTCACTAGAGCCCAGGAAAATCTTGAAAATTCATTTATTTTCCATCTAGATGGTAGAGTGTTGTCAGTGGCATCTACTCTCTTGGTCGTTGTTTATTGTATTTGGCATTGGATTCAAAAGAAAGTAAAAGAAAATGAAGATAAAAATCCGAAAGCGTGACAGGACACCATTGTGACTGTCTTATATTTCCCCCTTACACATGATGGATTGCTTTTTCCTGGCTATTTAATCAGGTCTTCAAAGAATGCCACTCCAATTCCTCAGAGATGCAGCACAGGCCGCGTGCACAGATGGTAGAGAGGCCAGCTATAAATTAAGCAATGAGGCTGACCATGGTGGGAAGAACATAGCCCTCTCTGTTTAAGTTTTGACAATAAACGGTCACCATATATTTTGAAGTACATTGTGGGCGTGCATTACCCAGCTGTTCAGCTTTAGCCTGTCCACAGGGGCTTGTGGCTGAGAGTTACTCTTGGCAACCATAACAATCTGCTTCTCGCTGGAGTACAGACAATGACCTATTTGAGCCAGTGTCTGTAGTTGTCGGATATTTACATAAGCCTAATGAAGTTTCAACATAGTCTTTTATATATAGTTACCTATTCCCTCTTTAGCAGTTAGTGACTTAGGAAATAAAATGAACATAATCTGCTGAATTAAATTGAGTGAATGACTTGTTTTTCTCTCCAGAAAATGCTAGGGAAAAATATTTGAAATGTATGCATTTTCAAATGTGAAATGTATACACGGTTTCCTCTAGATAAAGATCAAGATTAAAATCAAGAAGATCAATGGTGTTTTTAAAAATCGTTACACTACAGGAGGTTCTATCAATAATGGTACATAAGTAACATAATGCCATACACACAGTGCTATCTATGCAATTATTTATTTTCTGTCTCTCTCTATAGAACACATGCACAAATAGAGGATGGATTCCTGCACACATGAGACTTTGCATATATTACATTAAAAATATGGAGCCATATTATGTAAGCAGTGTGATGGAAAGTTAATTCAGTTTAGTTGATTTATATGATGTGTATTGTTTATTAATCTCTCCTTAGATCTGGGGACAGAGTTTTATTGTTGTTTGTTTTAATTAATTTTTGAAGGGGAGGGCAGGATGTTGGCTAAGAAGTCTCCTTTCTAAATAAGACATTATTACTGCAAGTATACTATTCAGTGAATAGTCTAGCAAAAAATGGGTTAAGAATCAATGTGTTAGGACTGGGTGCAGTGGCTCACGCCTGTAATCCCAGCACCTTGGGAGGACAAGGTGGGCAGATCACCTGAGGTCAGGAGTTTGAGACCAAACTGGCCAACATGGAGAAACCCCATCTCTACTAAAAATACAAAATTAGTTGGGCATGGTGACACATGCCTGTAATCCCAGCTACTTGGGAGGCTGAGGCCAGGACAATCAGTTGAACCCGGAGGGCAGAGATTACAGTGAGCCAAGATCAAGCTACTGAACTCCAGCCTGGGCAGCAGAGTGAGACTCCATCTCAAGAAGAAAAAAAAAGAGTCAATGTGTTCTGTGTTACAAGAATAAGAAGTTTCAGTAGCCAGAGTTGCAAACAGGTAAGCAATAAGTTAGGATCCCATTGGCATACTGGATGGTGATAAATTAATTACTCCCATGTTACCATCCAATAAATTGTAGTGCAGGTAGGCAGTAATTAAATTAAGGACCCTGTTTGGTAGCTGAGTGGAGAAGTTAGCAATTATCTGGAGCTGGGGAGCAGGAGATGGGGAGCAAGGCAGGAACAAATAATAAGATGAATTTAAGATATTAGTTATCTCTGAGTTTCTTATCCTGGTTCTAGATGTTGCATGGCATTCCGTTTTCTGACAGTGTCTGCAGCGGAAGGTTGTTGGAAGTACCTGACTGCTGAGCAGGGAAGTGGAGGGCCGTGGAACTGGGAATGCACCTACGATAGGGGCATACGTAGTCTGGGATGTGTTTAATATAGTGGCATAAATGCGTGAAGACAGAATAAAGTTGCCATGGGAAGAAATAATGTATTCATTATATTCTACCATGCACAAAATGGCTGTGGGAAAAATCCATATAATCATAACAAGAATAAATGCTATTATAGATATTTCCCAAAATGTTGGTTTGCTTGGGCAAGATATAGGGTCTATGTCTTATGTTAATATTGCATATTTGGCTGTGTGGTGGAGTAGACAGAGCACAGACTTTGGAGTCAATTTAAGTACAAATCACAGCTCTATCATATATTAGCTGTGTGACATTAGGCCAGACACTTAACTCCAAGCCTTAATATTATATCCTGCAAAATGTGGATAGTACTATCTATGCCATCAATTTGATGGGAGAATTAAATCAGAATAATGTAAGCAAGACACATATCACATCTACCACATAGTAACTGCTCAATAAATGTAATCTGCACATTTGATCTTCCTTCATCTAAGATATACACCTGCTTTTAAGCAAGCATGGTTTCTTTTATTCATTTGTCAAATATTTTTGTAGGCCTACTATCTGCTATTGGGGAAAGTAAATTGAAAATAGAAAAAGAGATAAATTTCCCACTTTAAAAAATAATCACGTTTTTATTGGAAGAGGAAGACAAATAAAAAAAAATAAAAATAGGCCCGGCGCGGTGGCTCAGGCCTGTAATCACAGCACTTTGGGAGGCCAAGGCAGGCAGATCACTAGGTCAGGAGATCGAGACCATCCTGGCTAACACGGTGAAACCTCATCTCTACTAAAAATACAAAAAGTTAGCCGGGCGTGGTGGCGGGTGCCTATAGTCCCAGCTACTTGGGAGGCTGAGGCAGGAGAATGGTATGAAACCTGGGGGGCGGAGCTTGCAGTGAGCCGAGATAGCACCACTGCACTCCAGCCTGGGTGACAGAGCGAGACTCCGTCTCAAAATAATAATGATAATAATAATGAAGAATAAAAAAATAAATGCTGGTTTTATTTTTTTCCCTCTAACATTGGTTAAAAAAAATAGTTTCACTGTAGTAGGGGAAATATATTGGTTAGACGTTTAGAAAAATGAGAAGCATTATCAATTATCTGTCCTCCCCTGGAAAAGGTTACTGATTACAAATGATGTTGAATTTTAAACATTTTATTAAGTCAGTATATCATATAGCTTGGAATTCAGAAGAGTCAATCATGAACATCAAGACGTAAAACCAGAAGTATTTTATATCTGTTTTCATGAGTTGTTCCTTATCAATATAAGAAGAATACCTAGAAATCCAAATGGACAAAAGGAATATACTAATAAAATTGTATATATATTATAATATAATTACATTATAATTATAGTGTTTCCTACTACATGTTGATTCTGACATACTAACTTCACTGAGATTCAGTGTGAAGCAATGAACATTGAATAATTAGTTCAATTATTAAGATCTATTAGAATTTACTTTTTCAGTGTAATAGCACCTAAGCAACTACGTATGAGAGATTGAATCTAAAGGGCTGTACTTCTTACTTTGATATTAACTACTGGTGGAGAATTAAGTTAAATTTTGTCTCTTATATGAGAAAAGTTACTATGATTTAACTGTTTCATTGTGTTTAGTGTAGGATCAAATTGTCCCTGGAGTTCTGTAACTAATCTAGAAGAGCCAATTTCATGTGCCATACTACAATGTTAACCGACCCAAGCAGGTAAATGGGTCCTTATAGTTTCCTCACACAAACAGAGATGCTCGTTAACACTACAAAATTCCTCTTTAAAGTTCCATCATTGGTCCAAATGCATAAAAGTGCAACTTAATATTTTTGAAACATATTGCAGTGATATTATAGCTCATAAGCTTCCCTAGAACGTTTTCCTTTATAAGCCTTGGTAATTAATTGTAGCTAAGAAGATACAGAGCCAAGTTTTTTCAAAGTGGCTTTGTTAACTTCAGCATATCTGATGGTACATTTATTCAATAAATTGTAAAATTATTTTTGCTTATAAAGTTAAAAATAAGAGAATAGTAATGTATTTTTTTTTATTTTCTACTTCAAAGTCTCCCTCCCGTTAGAGAAATGTTGACACCCATGCTAACATTTTCCCTGAGTGATTCATTGATAATCTAAGTTTGGCATAAAGCAGTCATTTGATCTTTGACCATATAATACTCACCTAGTGTATGAGATGTGTCCACATCTCATTTCTACACTCTTATCCAGTTTACTTGTAGAGATTTAAAAATGTATTGGAATATAGTGTATATTTATGAAGAGATTCTTAGGCAATATTGCCTAACCTTTCCAAGTCTCTATTTCTTCAGCTGTAAAATTCAGTAGATAATTGTCTCAAAGATTTAGTGCAATAAATGTTTGTAAAAGGGATTTGTGGGCTGTAAATTGCCACACAAATGTTAGCTATTATGAAGTCTTTTGTTGGTTTTGTTTAGTCTCAAGAAAAATAGCAGGCATTTATTGGGATGGATAAAATGATAGCTTTCTTCTAGCATATTTTTCTACCCTACAAGAAAATAATTAGTAAACACATATTTTAATGACAATGTCCATTCAAAATTTAGGTTTTTAGCCTAGTGGACAAGGTTAAGGGAAAAGTCCTTTTTCAAAATGACTGCTAGTTGAAAGATTTGCAGCACGGTTTGCAGTATCAGTTTAATAATGACTTGCTCATGCCAGTTTTATGTAGGCAGAGGTTTCTCAGCAAATAAAGGCTTGTCATTCACCTTGTCCTTCATTCAGCACGTGCTTCAGGTAGGAAGCCAGCTCAGTGCTAATCAAGAGGATATGGCTGTATGGCAGACTTTGAAATTAGAAATGAATTCTGCAGTAATATGAATGTACTGAGACCAGTGATAATAATAAATCCATACAATATGGAAAACTTGATAGATTCATAAATATTGATCACATCATACTTCAGTGGTAAATATACCAGAGTGTTATCCCATTTTTTTTTTTTTTTTTTAGCTCTCTAGAGTAGAAAAAGCGGAAGAGAAGAATGCTGGTTTTTATATTGAATCCAAATGATTTTGACTTTGAATTTGTTATATTTTTATCTTTCACCTGTATATCACCATTTGATGAAAGATGTGCGAGTGCACACAAAACATACATACATATAGATTATATAGTATGTAGATGCTGTGCTTATATGTATACACAGAAAGAGATATATATTCCTTTTGATTAGAGAAGTCTTATTTCCTGGGGAAAAGAAGAAGGTTAATGAGATGAACTGTAACCCCCACCAGTGCAACTGCAACTGGTCTCAAGGCTGCAATTGGTACTATTTCCCTCCTGCTACCCGCTGTAAATTCCTCTTACTCTCAGCTAGCATCTCTGCTAGTTTCTGTGGCTTACCCAAATTCCTGTCCCTTTACTGGTCATATATGCTGTACTAGCCAATACATGATCAAAATTGGGGAAGGGAGTATCAACAGATACTCCAGTAGATCATCAGAATGCCAATCATATTTTCCTTCTTTCCCAACTCCTCTTAATGACCTGGGCAATTATTTTGCCAGGATAGTATCCTGCCTTGCCTGCTGGTATTTTGGCACAAGACGTATGATACAACAAGGCAGCAGCAATAGCTCAAATTTCAATGATAGAAGCATTCCTCCTTTGTGAATTAGGACTTCTGAGTCTACAAGCCTAGAGTCATAGGGATGGTAAACAGAGATTCTCCAAATGGGTCACTGGGAGTCATGGTAAGCAGTTTCATACCTACTTTAATCTCTTGTGTTTGTTTAGTCTACCTATTGAGGACATGGTACCATATACTGGCCATTGATCTAGACATATACTAGACCCTAGAAAAAGGTATCCCTTTTGCTTAGGGTATGGTCTCCAGCCTGGCTCCTTAATTCCACCTCTGAAGGCTTTACTTTGGCTGTATCAAGTCAGCAGCTGTTGTTGATATGTGATAGGATTAGTAGATCCCGTGGCAATGCATTTATGCCTATACCTCTTTTTCTGTAGAGTAAGTTATTTGATTCTTTTCAATATAATGAGGGATTCCATGTTGGTCTCAAATACTTTGTGAGTCTGAGATGGTGGTGCCGGTAGAAGCCCTGAGAATAGGAAAAGCAACCCATTTCCAGAATATGTGTTTATTTCAGTCAAGATGAATTTCTAACCTTTTCAGAAGAGAAGTCATCCAAGTAAATATGTCACCCAGAGACTAGTTGGTTTTCTTAAGGAATAGTGATTTGTTGGGAGCTCAGCATGTGTCTCTGTTGCTAGGAGATTGGGCATACAGCAGTGGTGGCAGCTTCTGGTGAGTAGCAGAAACCATGTAGGATTAGAGCCCATGCCAGTGAGCAATGCATAGGCTCCATTCTTGCCTCTGTAGCCTTATCATTTGTGCACCTTTATGCCACCATTGGATGCTGGCTGATGTCAACAGGCTGAATTGTTCCATCTACATAATTGCTTAGTGACTCTTCCATAAATTATACAATCTGGTGTTTACAGGGGATTCAAAGATTTTTTTTTAACTTGGTGTTCATTCCTGTGGGCCTATCAACATGTCTTTTCCCCAAACCTTTTTGTTCCTGATCTTTCCATCATTGGCCAATCAGCCAAGCTATTTGACCTTGTTCACATGTATATATATATATATAGTCCTACCTTGAGCCATTTATAATTTCATATAAAGTAGGTGGTGTGGTATACTCAACATTCTACCTTGGGAAAGGTTCTCTTTACCACTTTCTTTTGGGGCTATCCCTCACTGAGCTGCAGTGTAGCAGCCATCCAATTTGGGGTGTACCCACATACCCACAGACCAAGCTGACCACCTGGTCATAAGTGTGAGTTAAAGGGGAAGGTAGTTGTACAATAGTGATTGAAAACATGGAGGTCTGGGCCCCTCCTGTTATGTCCTCTGGTCCCGTTTTTCCCTGATGCCAAATGTAATTCACCCCATGAACTGATGATGGTCCTGTCTGACCTTATAACTTGGTGCATCTCAGAGAAGCCAGGGTATGATGAGCAGTTCTGGTCAGTGGACTCTCCCATGGTTATTTTTCTCTTACTTTGTGAGTAGGGAAACTGCTGCACAGAAAAGTTAACTAACTTGTCCAAGGTCACACAGCTAGCAAAACATCTGACTTTTCAGCCTACTTTCTCAGCCATTGTGTTATAATGGGTCTGTCTACCCAGGCTTTGTCCACACATGGAGGCTTCTCAGATAAATGGGTGATATTTCAGGTTTATTTGAGTCTAATCAGACTAGTTTTAGAATTACTAATAAAGGTTAAACACTGGAAATTAATTTTTAAAGTCTAGGATTCTGCCACTCAAATGATCTCTGTTCAACTTTCCAATATGATAGGGCCCATTGCTAAGTGTGGGTTAAATGTGTGAACCGTCTTGAGGTGAATATCACATAATTGTTGCTATCCAGAAATCCATAGTTTAACAAAGAGTAAATTCGATATAACTAATCTTAATTATCAAATGCAATTAAAGCATAGTGATTTGCAATGCTATATTCATTATTCAATATTTATCGAGTACCCAGAAATATATAAGGAATCACAAATTAGAGTGTTGTGATATGCACTTGCAGTCCCAGCTACTTGGGAGATTGAGATGGGAGGAGCACTTGATCTCGGAAGTTTGAGACTGCAGTGAAATATGATGGGGCCACTGCACTCCAGCCTGGGCAACAGAGCAAGACCCTGTCTCATAAGCAAGTAAGTAAATACATAAATAAATTTTACCTAGATATTGATTTTTTAACAAAGAATCACAAATGAGAGATGTTAGATACAATTCAAAGAAACATTAAGTCTTTAAAGTTAGTCTTAATACTCCTCAAACATAACACAGCCAGTGCCTGACATACTATTTTTTGGGTTTGACCCTATCTTACGAGGATGGTAGTGTCATTTGCCACACAGAATGACAAAGCTTCTATTGTATTGAAAAGCTCCTTCACTTATTGTTCTATTTTGTTTAAGTGAAAAGGTCTAGGTTACAATCTAGGTTAAAAAAAAGAGAAATAATATTTTTTTATTTAAAGTATCTATTCAGAGTTCTTTAGCTTATAATGTAGTTCCATCAAACAATAATTAATCAGCCTAAATAGTATAGGCAATGCACAGCTGTCTTTGTTATTTTGTGTTGACAAATATATACCAAGAATCTATAGGTGACCCTAACTTTCCCTGAAACATTGACAAAATAAATTTTTTCATCTAGATGATCGTCTATGATGAATGTGAGAAAATTCACTTGAAATTAAAATGCCCCATCCTCAAATTAAAACACACGTCATTATAAAGCAAGAAAAGTCCAACAGAAAAGCCAGTTTCCCATATTTCTTGGTATTCTTCAGGTCCAGTTCCTATTTAAGTTGACCTACCTGCTAATCAGAACTGATGTGTTCAGTTCTGGCAGACATCGCCTGAGTTGTATGAAAATGTACCAAAGCAGAACAAACTGTTTTGAACAAGGAAGACTGATTCTTTCTTTAAGTGATTTTCTCCTAACAGTATGGCACTTAGTTGTAAGGAAAAGGGAATAAAAGTACTATGTAGCTTATTTCATATTCCTCCCTTGCCTTGTCTTCTTGATTTCATAAATGGAAAAAAGAATGGAGAAGAGAATTGGTAGCCTATACATAAGTCTTTTGATCTCATGAATTCCATGTCCAATTTTTGACACGTAGACCACCTGCTTTCTTGTTATACTTGAGCCTTACTTCTCATTATTTAATGTGAGGCTTTGAGCCCAATTTTGATAAAATATTTTAGATCTTCTTTAATACGCTTGCTTATATAGAAACAGATGACCCTTGGGGAAATTCAACTGATAAAAATGGTAAATATCTTTTTGCTTTTCTAGATCAAGAAAAATAACAACACTAAAACCTCATACTAATGATGTAGTTACTTTGCACATGAAACATCCTAGAAAAAGTTATTTCTACTTTCTGAATGCACGTGTTAAGTGGATGCTTAAGCCCTTAGTCTAATAGGGAAGTTTGGCATAGAACAAATTTATTTTGAATCCCAGGAATATTTAAGTGCAAGATATAGGGGTAAGAAAAAGGAGATAGCACAAAGGAGAACTTAAACAACTCTTTCAATGGGAAGAGGAATTCATTGCTGAAGATGTGACATCTGAGTTGAAATGGACTTTGAAGTAGGGATGTGGTTTGGCCAAGCTGCCAAGAAGGGCAAAGAAATTGCTGGTAGAAGAAACATTACATACAACACATGGGAGCATAGAGCAGAAGCAAAAGTATGTATTCAGTGAATTATGTGTGGTTCTGTAAGGCTGTAGAGATATGCAGGGGCTGGATCACAGAGTATCTTTTAGAATATACAAAGAAAATTGGACTTTTTGTCTAGACTATGTGGGATAGGGATGGCTAAATGTAAAAGATAGGCTTGCTTCTATTTCTGTTTTTTAAAGATAACTTTGGAAGCTGTGTGAGTTGGCAGTGGTAGAAAGAGGGACTAGAAATATTGAAACTAGTTGGAAAGCTGTATCATCAGTAGGCTAAGCAAGAGAGAATGAGGTCATTGACCTCAACTGTGCAAGAAGAGTGAGTTAATGTATTAGAAGGTCCTGACAGATTGGAGATTGAGATGAATATGTGCAGGTGGATTAGGAATTGGGGCTGTTTCCTAAATTCTTGACTTAACTGAATGGATGGTAAAGCCATCACTTAAGAAAGAGGAAGAATGACTTAAGTCCATCTCCACAGAAAGAGCCTGGATTCTGAGTCCTTTGAAGGCCCATGTCTTGATCATCTTTGTATTTCCAGCAGGAGTAAAGGGCCTGACAATGACAGACTCTCAATGACTCATTAGGAAGCCTAAAAGGCAAATACTTTGTTTTACTGATTAATTGATAATGCCAGGTATAAACTATGATATTGTAAAAGGTGAAGCAAAGGAAGTAAATATCCCAAAGACTCCAAAACATGCAATTGAGAAATTTATAATCAAAATAGGCAAAACTAGTAGGCTTACTGAAAAGCATATTTTGCTTTGTGTGTTAGATCAGAGCAGGAGGACAGATGAATGCAGAATATTTTGTAGTATCTCCAGAGGGAAATAATTATGGCCTAAACTGAGTGGCAACTCTGCTCATGGAGAGAATGATTAATTCAAAGAATTATATGGAAGAGGAAACGGTTAGCAGTTTGCATTTGAATTGAAAAGGAGCTTTTGATGCTGACTGGGAATTCTGTAAGTTATTGGCATTGCTGATGGTAATGAAAAGCTTAAGGGAGAGTGTGACAGGGCCTTATCATGCATCTTTAGTTCCTTGATAGGGTATAAGTGAGTCATTCTCCTACTGATGGGATGATTCCTCCTTGCTGGACATATTTTACCCAGCTTTGAGAAAGGAACTCATTGCACTGCCATCTTGGAATAATGAGTTAAAGGGTTATGCATTAACATAAGATAACCACTGAGCACTATCGCTGCCAGGACTGGAATATATTGATTTGATTAATCCTTAAATATCAGAAGGTAAAAACTATCACTTTTTCCCCCCCTCCCCTCTTTATTTCCTCTGTCTGTGGCAGACACAGATTAGAACTGAGAAATAAATTAGAAGGACTAACTTTGGCTTTCTGCCACCTAGAAATAGACTAAATAGTTTAATATGGATTTATGTAATGAGTTCACAAATTGATTTTGCAGAGTAAGCTTGCTTTAGGAAATAAACACCTGTGTACTATGGTTTGAATGGCCTACTTCTATGTGCACTCATGTTGATAAAAATGAATTTTCTTAAAAAAATCTATCTTATGGTCACTTCATCATTCCAATATTTTTGAAATCCACAAATCAAAAACCAAACAATGATTTAGAATCTCTAGATATCACCTAGGGAAAGCAGTCTCTATTGGGTATCAGTGATAATGTCTTATCTTTGAGTGACAGGATTAAAAAGAAAAAAAAAAAGACCTCCTCCACTCTCTGTGAAACCTCCACTTCTCCTTTTCCCTTGTTTAAGAACGTCACATGTGCCTCATTTAAACATTAATTATTTAGCTTGAACTGTACACAGCTAATGTGTAAAATAAAATTTCTTGCAAGTTTGAAGATGAATCCAGAGGTACCGCTTGTAAGCAGGCCCCCGCTTTTTCTATCTCGGGTGGCCAAATTATGTGTAATTGTAATTGGTGATGGATGGTGACTGTTGTGTCAGCCAATCATTCTAGGAATGGCTACTAAGATTTGTAATTATAATGTCCCTTATTCCTATTTAAATTAAACAGTCTTCACATAACTATTCTTTCCCTTGAAACATGGAAATTTGGGTGTGGGAATTGGGGACAGTTAAGGGTCAGGGTTTTACCTCTTAAAAGCTACACTTTTGCACAGTCTGTCCCATTTCTCTAAGGCACCGTAGATGGGGGAGGCCAGCGATCAAGAATGGTAATTTACAATCTAAGAGTGCTTAATCTAAAATCTGTCCTTGTCAAAGGAGAATGCGTTGGTCCCCATGCAGCAGTAATGGAAATTTTATTTCAGCATAAGCTTCAATGGGGGCTTTCACTGTATTCTTTAAACTACCCTCGTCCTTATCAATTTATGCCATGTACAGGTTTTGTGGGTTTTTAACATCATTCTACTTTAAAAGAGAAAACATTAAATATAATAAATAAATCCACATTTGGAAACCTATAAACTCACCTTGCAAGCATAATAACAAAAATTGTTATATGGTTATGGCTGAATCTAGCTTTATTATTAATCATTTTTCCTGGGGATTAAAACTTAATTTTTCAAAGAGATCCTTTTCTCTAACACACTAGTTTCTCTTTTAGGGTAACACTTTTATAATAAAAAATTATTTTCCTTAATTTTCACTGTCATATACAAAGAGCTTTTCCTGTTAAGAAAATAGATAGTTAAGAAATATAATACTCCAGGGCAAAAATTGGACCAGATTAATTAAAATAAATATATGAAGACTTTATAATTGTTTTTGTTCAGTAACAAATTAGTAAGTACCATGCTAAATGAAGACAATAGCAATGACATTATACATTGTAAATTAGTAACTATGGGTATTTTGTTTTAAATCTATTTACTAGCTCTTGTTTACTAAAAACCTCTAAGTATGTCTCTTTCTTATAGTTTCCACGTGGTATGTATAAATCTGTTTTATTTTCCTTCAGAAAACACACATGCTAACTTTATTATATCTTCTTTTCTGGCCTGGGATTAGTTAACTAGGATTTATATTTATCTTCTATGTTCTACCTCATTAATATCTATCTCCTATGTTCTACCTCCACTCCCTCATTCCTAGACTCCAGTTTGTGCCTCCTTTTGTGGATCCTGAAATTCTACATCTCACTGAATTTTATATATGCCTACCACTGTAACACTGGCCCACTTTGTTCTTCATGCTAGATTCTACTAGAGAGCAATTCTAAGGTCATTTTTTTTTTACCTTTGCTATTTCTCCCACAAATTTTTCCAAGTCATTATTGGCCAGAACAAACAAAAAAACAACATAATCATCAAAACATCTATTATTCTCTGCTATCTGTTTCAATACAATTTTCTGTTCCCAAAGCTCAGATTCTTTGTTTTTCGATTGTTCCAAATAGGAGTGACAATTGGTGTGCTAGAGATGGCATACTGATGACCATGAATGAGATATACATAGAAGATTCTATATATTGTTGCCAAAAGAAATGTGAGGTATCCAGGTATCCTTGGGAAAGACTCAATTGGCTATAAGTAAAATTTTTGATGTCTAAGGCCTCAGGTATGGCTTGGATGATTAGCAACATGAAAGAACACTGGCAATATTAAAAGTGCACACTGTATGTTGTCAGTTTCCCCTACATTTTATACAGCTGTCAAGAATACTAAAAGAATTTGTGAGACCCCTTTTTGTTGACTATTTGTTAGATTCATCTAAGGAACAGTTAACATTCTGAAAAATATTACTGAGTCAAAGGTCTTCCTGTAACTGCAACATTACTTGCACATTAGTTTTTAGAAAGAGTACATTTTAACACTCTTGGCTATTCAAAATAAATTTCAAGACCTACAAATACAAAAAAAATATGATGGCATACTTCTCTTTAGAGAGCATCATGTGAAAAAATCTAGCTCTTTGTTTACATGTGCATAGAGACCTGATTAAAATTTGGGGGTTGTCATATCAAATTTCCTTACTATGTTTCCAGATATTCAAAGTTTTGGGGATAAAATGAACAGCTATAAGGAACAACAAAAATAATTGTTTACAGCCTTCTTTTGTAGCAGAGACATGTGAATATCAAAGGATAAACATGAATGCGGTGGATTTTTACTGTATCAACTTAGTCAAACTGTAACAACCTTTCTCCGAATTTCCCTCTCTTTGTGGTTCTGAGTTAGTGTGGGCCAGAAAAGGCAAATAGATGTAAGGGAGTAGTGTCTTAGTCCACTTTCTGTTACTTGTAACTTGAAACTGGGTAATTTATTTTTAAAAAGGAATTCAATTCTTACATTTATGGAGGCTGAGAAGTGCAACGTTTAGGAGCTGGCTCTGGTAAAGGCTTTCTTTCTGGTGAAGGCTCTTTACAGAGTCCCGAGGTGGCTCAGGGCATCACATGGCAAGGAGGCTAAGTGTGCTAGCTCAGGTGTTTCTTCCTGTTCTTGCAAAGCCACCAGCCTTACTCCTATAATAACCCATTAATCCATTAACCTATTATTCCATTAATCTATAAATGAGTTAATAAATTGATGATGGCTCTGTCCTCATGACCCAATCATCTCTCAAAGGACCCTCCCTTGCAAAACTGCCATATTGGAGATTAAACTTCAGCATGAGTTTTGGAGGAAATAAATATTAAATACACTGCAAGTACCTATACTTTTTTATTTTTTATTTTTGGGAGGTTTGTGCAGGATATGAGTTGCTGCTCTCTGGTGGCTCACTTGTTGGGACAGGGCAATACCTCAGCCAGTTGCTCCTCCAGGCCCTGCCAGATCTTCTGTTTCAGCTTTTCTAACTGGTTCCCAGCTTTGAAGACAGAGCAAGGGCTCACAAGCCAAGCACTGTGGGTGGACAGCCTCTTTAAGTAGGAAAAGGCAAGGAGATGAATTCATCTTTAGAGCCTGCAAAAAGGAATACAGCTTTGCCTAGAGGACATGCGAGACCTCTAACCCAAAGACTATACAATAACAAACATATGTAATTTGAAGACACTGAGTTTGCAGTGATTTGTTATAGCAGCTGTAGGAAACAAAATTTGAATTCAAGATTCTTCCACTAATTTTGCATCTACATTCTGATCATTTTGGAAAATTCTTACAGAAATTGGACAATGTTGAACAAATAGTGATTTTTAAAATTATATCTAGGACTATCATTGCCAAGGGACTTTGTCTTGATATTTCACAAGAAGAATTTTGGAACTATGAAAATAGGGGATCCCATAGTTCTTACTACAAGCATAGAATGCCCACCAAACAATTTAAAGCCAAGCCTATTATCCAGGTACCCAGAGAATCCAGCCTCCAGAACAGAAGGAAACAGTCCCCACTGAAAGAACACAAAAGCCAGGAAGCCACAAGGAATTGCCCTCAGGTTCTGAAGGACAAGAGATTGTGCATTCAATAGCTTTTGCAGGAATTAATAAGTGAAGGCCAAGGGTTATAATAAACATCTAAAGGAAGAATTTAGCACAAACAAGACCACATAGAAGAAGAAAAATGTATGCAAGAAAACCAGTATGAACCACACCTAGAAACCTAGTCAGGGATTTTTTTTTTCCATCTAAAATAATTAAGGATCTTTACCAGTTCCTTAGCACAGAGAAATGTCAGGAACCAGTGCCTTGTCCTCATTATTCTTTATGTGTAAGAAACTGGAGTAAACAATGCCAAATTATTATTCCAATTTGTAGGTTAAATAAGCTCCCCAAATCACCTAGTCACCGTCTTAAATTTTTACCTTAAAAATCCTACAGGGTATTATTATAATGGATTTCCTGAATTGCTGAAATATTACTTAATCAAAGGGAGAAGCCATTAAAACATAGAACATGCTATGTTACAGGGCTGACTTCTGTTTACTTGTGCACATTTTTTTTTTAAATAGGAATATAAAGCTAACTTCTCAGGTGGGAAGATGGTAGAATCATCACTGCCATCTCCAAAACTACACTTTTGTGATGCTGGCTTGAACTTAGACCATACAAAGTTACTCATTTTCAGATGTTTGTCAAAATGATCCTCCTTCAAAAAAAATTCAGTTATTATGGTCTCAGTAATTGTGAAATGCAAACAGAATCATTTAAGAAGGATAAAATTGAATATTTTGTTTCTTACATAAAATCCAGACCTCTGTCATTTCAGCTTTGGTGGAGTATTTTCTCTTCTTCTTCTTCTTCTTCTTCTTCTTCTTCTCCTTCTCCTTCTTCTCCTTCTCCTTCTCCCTCTCCCTCTCCCTCTCCCTCTCCCTCTCCTTCTCCTTCTCCTTCTCCCTCTCCTCCTCCTCCTCCTCCTCCTCCTCCTCCTCCTCCTCCTCCTCCTCCTCCTCCTCCTCCTCCTCCTCCTCCTCCTCCTCCTCTTCCTCTTCTCTTCCTCTTCTCTTCTTCTTCTTTTCTTCTTCTTCTTTTCTTCTTTCCTTCCCTTCTTCTTCTTCCGTTCTTCTTCTTCTTCTTCCTTTCTTCTTCTTCTTCTTCTTCTTCCTTTCTTCTTCTTCTTCTTCTTCCTTTCTTCTTCTTCTTCTTCTTCTTCCTTTCTTCTTCTTCTTCTTCTTCTTCTTCCTTTCTTCTTCTTCTTCTTCTTCTTCCTTTCTTCTTCTTCTTCTTCTTCCTTTCTTCTTCTTCTTCTTCTTCTTCCTTTCTTCTTCTTCTTCTTCTTCCTTTCTTCTTCTTCTTCTTCTTCCTTTCTTCTTCTTCTTTCTTCTTCTTCCTTTCTTCTTCTTCTTCTTTCTTCTTCCTTCTTCTTCTTCTTCTTTCTTCTTCTTCCTTCTTCTTCTTCTTCTTTCTTCTTCTTCCTTCTTCTTCTTCTTCTTCTTCTTCTTCTTTCTTCTTCTTGTTTTAGGGTACATGTGCATAATGTGCAGGTTAGTTACATATGTATACATGTGCCATGCTAGTGCGCTGCACCCACTAACTCGTCATCTAGCATTAGGTATATCTCCCAATGCTATCCCTCCCCCCTCCCCCCACCCCACAACAGTCCCCAGAGTGTGGTATTCCCCTTCCTGTGTCCATGTGTTCTTATTGTTCAGTTCCCACCTATGAGTGAGAATATGTGATGTTTGGTTTTTTGTTCTTGCAATAGTTTACTGACAATGATGATTTCCAATTTCATCCATGTCCCTACAAAGGACATGAACTCATCATTTTTTATGGGGGCATAGTATTCCATGGTGTATATGTGCCACATTTTCTTAATCCAGTCTATCATTGTTGGACATTTGCGTTGGTTCCAAGTCTTTGCTGTTGTGAATAGTGCCGCAATAAACATACGTGTGCATGTGTCTTTATAGCAGCATGATTTATAGTCCTTTGGGTATATACCCAGCAATGGGATGGCTGGGTCAAATGGTATTTCTAGTCCTAGATCCATGAAGAATCGCCACACTGACTTCCACCATGGTTGAACTAGTTTACAGTCCCACCAACAGTGTAAAAGTGTTCCTATTTCTCCACATCCTCTCCAGCACCTGTTGTTTCCTGACTTTTTAATGATTGCCATTCTAACTGCTGTGAGATGGTATCTCATTGTGGTTTTGATTTGCATTTCTCTGATGGCCAGTGATGGTGAGCACCTTTTCATGTGTTTTTTGGCTGCATAAATGTCTTCTTTTGAGAAGTGTCTGTTCATGTCCTTCGCCCACTTTTTGATGGGGTTGTTTGTTTTTTTCTTGTAAATTTGTTTGAGTTCATTGTAGATTCTGGATATTAGCCCTTTGTCAGATGAGTAGGTTGTGAAAATTTTCTCCCATTTTGTAGGTTGCCTGTTTACTCTGATGGTAGTTTCTTTTGCTGTGCAGAAGCTCTTGAGTTTAGTTAGATCCCATTTGTCAATTTTGGCTTTTGTTGCCATTGTTTTTGGTGTTTTAGACATGAAGTCCTTGCCCATGCCTATGTCCTGAATGGTAATGCCTAGGTTTTCTTCTAGGGTTTTTATGGTTTTAGGTCTAACGTTTAAGTCTTTAATCCATCTTGAATTAATTTTTATATAAGGTGTAAGGAAGGGGTTCAGTTTCAGCTTTCTACATATGGCTAGCCAGTTTTCCCAGCACCATTTATTATATAGGGAATCCTTTCCCCATTGCTTGTTTTTCTCAGGTTTGTCAAAGATCAGATAGTTGTAGATATGCGACGTTATTTCTGAGGCCTCTGTTCTGTTCCATTGATCTATATCTCTGTTTTGGTACCAGTACCATGCTGTTTTGGTTACTGTAGCCTTGTAGTATAGTTTGTAGTCAGGTAGCGTGATGCCTCCAGCTTTGTTCTTTTGGCTTAGGATTGACTTAGCGATGCGGGCTCTTTTTTGGTTCCATATGAACTTTAAAGTAGTTTTTTCCAATTCTGTGAAGAAAGTCATTGGTAGCTTGATGGGCATGGCATTGAATCTATAAATTTCCTTGGGCAGTATGGCCATTTTCACGATATTGATTCCTCCTACGCATGAGCATGGAATGTTCTTCCATTTGTTTGTATCCTCTTTGATTTTGTTGAGCAGTGGTTTGTAGTTCTCCTTGAAGAGGTCCTTCACATCCCTTGTAAGTTGTATTCCTAGGTATTTCATTCCCTTTGAAGCAATTGTGAATGGGAGTTCACTCATGATTTGGCTCTCTGTTTGTCTATTATTGGTGTATAAGAATGCTTGTGATTTTTTCACATTGAGTTTGTATCCTGAGACTTTGCTGAAGTTGCTTATCAGCTTAAGGAGATTTGGGGCTGAGACAATGGGGTTTTCTAGATATACAATCATGTCGTCTGCAAATAGAGACACTAAAATAAGAGCAGAACTGAAGGAAATAGAGACACAAAAAACCCTTCAAAAATTAATGAATCCAGTAGCTGTTTTTTTGAAAGGATCAACAGAATTGATAGACCGCTAGCAAGACTAATAAAGAAAAAAAGAGAGAAGAATCAAATAGACGCAATAAAAAATGGTAGAGTATTTTCTTAAACCATTGCTACCTGGAGTTTCTCCATAATGATGCCCTTTTTATTCCCAGCAATGATTTTCTATTATTTTGTGTTACATTTAAGTTAGCTTTCTTATTAACAAAGTTAATGATCATATAGTTCTCATTGTGAATATTAAAAAAGATTAGCCAGAAACGAGCATTAACCCAAAACACTTGATTGATAAGTTTGTGATACTTGATAATATGAATATGCTCTAATAAGTAACTCTATGCAGTTGTGTATTACTTAAAATAAATATGACCAGACATTCTTCATGGTAATGTGACTAGCTTAGTTATTAGTTTTATAAATCAATGCAATGATTGTACTCACTTTTTTGTTGTTGTTGTTGTTGCTTGTTTTGAGACAGAGTCTCGCTCTGCCTCCCAGGCTGGAGTGCAGTGGTGTGATCTCTGCTCACTGCAACCTCTGCCTCCTGAGCTCAAGTGATTCTCCTGCCTCAGCCTACCAAGCAGCTGGGATTACAGGTGCCTGCCACCACACCCGGCTAATTTTTGTAATTTTAGTAGAGACAGGGTTTCACCTTGTTGGCCAGGCTGGCTTTGAATTCCTGACCTCAAATGATCTTCCCACCTCGGCCTCCCAAAATGCTGGGATTACAGGTGTGAGCCACTGCACCCGGCCGTACTCATGTATTTTTAAGTAATTTTTTCCTCTTTCATGCCTTGTGTCTACTTCTGCCTCATTGTCTATGGAAAAAGAAGGCATTTATGCTTTTGCAGGCCTCTTTCTTCATGAAAAAGTTACTAATTTTATAACTGCTTTGGAATAAAGATGAATGTAATCCAGGATGGACTTATTTTTTCCTCCTAACTAAAAAAAAAACCAAAAAACAAAAAACAAAAAACAAAAAACTTAAACCTTCTTTATGGGCACCTAAAAGTACTGTGGCCCTTGACACAGTGCCTACTGTGCTGATTGGACAAGTCATCCCTATTATATAGCCATATCGTGGTTATACTTTAAGAAAATTGGGCCTAACTTTCTAAGTGCTTTGAAGTCATGTGATGCATAAAGCAGTGAATTGTTTCATTATCTCAATTTTCTTATGATGTAATAAATTGTTTTTAGTTTAAAATCATTTTTATGTCACAGGTATATTGTATAAGGTGTCAGTTAATTTTTTAATCAATAGAATTGTTATTTTTCATTAACTTGTGTTACTGCCACAAAGGAATTGAATATTTTATACCAATTTCCAGTACAAATAGCATCTAACATTTAAGCTTTGAGAATCTTTGGCTCTACTTTCTCCCCACTCCCCTCGCTATTTGGCACACTATTTTGTCCTCAAGTTCATGTTCTGACACATACATGTGTGTCTACTAGTTGCTAAAATTTTAGGAAAGTTATTTTCTAATGAAAGTCATTATCCCTAACTTACTTGCATTGTCGCTTGGTATATTAAAATGTCTTTTGTTTCTTAAAGGAAGAAATACAAGAAAATGTTCTTAATAGCAACTGTATTTCTTTAAAGGCAAATAGTTATCTACATTAAGTAGCAAATACAACTCTAACAGTCCATGAGGCCAGTACATTCTCTCACTTTCTGATAGTGAAAAATATCTTTTCTGGGTGCTAGAGGTTGTCTCAATACTATGGGCTATGCAGAAAAATGTGGAAGAACTAGCATTTTGAGGGGTGACATAAAGAATGTATTGGTGGCTCACGCCTGTAATTCCAGCACTTTGGGAGGCCGAGGCGGGCGGATCACGAGGTCAGGAGATTGAGACCATCCTGGCTAACAAGGTGAAATTCCGTCTCTACTAACGATACAAAAAAATTAGCCAGGTGTGGTGGCGGGCACCTGTGGTCCCAGCCACTCGGCAGGCTGAGGCAGGAGAATGGCATGAACCCGGGAGGCAGAGCTTGCAGTGAGCCGAGATCACACCACTGCACTCCAGCCTGGGTGACAGAGCGAAACTCCGTCCCCCAACAAAAAAAAAAAAAAAAAAAAAAAAAAAAAAAAAAAAGAATGTATCGTGTTTCTTGATGCTAAAACTATCCTAAGCAGTTCAATTGAGTTACAAAGCTTAATAATTTTTCAAAGTTCAACTAGAATGTCTTAGGACGTAGGACAATTTGGGGGAAGTATTTCCACCTTAAAGGAGGAAATGGTGGTGGCATGGTCTACAGTTATTTTATACCCTTGTTCTATAGAAGCATGTGTCCTGGGGTTCCTGAGTGTCTCCATACTGTTAACAGCTCCTCTGGCAACTACATTGTAACAGAGTGTCAGGAGTTGGTGCAGAATTCCAGCATCAGTTCCAAATGCTGAACCAGTAATCGATTTCCCAAGGAAATCAATCCCAGCAAAAGTTGAGCCCCAACTCTCTATAGCATGTGAATAAAACAGAAAACGGCTATCTTAGAGAATACATGGTAAGCTGAAGAACGTAAATTAGACTTCCAATAAATTTGATGCTTTGTGTACTTAGAACTCATATAGGCATTATAGATCCAAGCAGTTTCAGCTAGCTTTTCATCTCTCTCAAACCCTGGGCGAATGATAAACATCAAAGAGAATAACATGAAAAGAAATATTTACTTTGACCGTTCTACCAAATATATATATATATAAATATATGAAAATATATATACTAATATATATAAATATATATGTAAATTATATATAAATATATATGTATATATACACACACACACGCACAATTCAAGCATAATAATATGCTTTAGACTGAGTGGCTTATGCACAACATAAATTTATTTCTCATGGTTCTGGTGACCGGCTGAGTTTCCCTAGTCTGAGATTAGGGTGCCAGCATGATGGTTGGGTTTCTGGTGAGGACCCTTTTCTGGGCTGCAGACTGATGGCTTCTTGTATCCTCGTACGGTGCAAAGAGAGAGAGATAATTCCCTGGGATCTCTTTTATAAGAGCACAAATTCTATTTATAAGGGCTCCATCTTCATGATCTAATAACCTCCCAAAAGCCTCACCTCCTAATATGATCACTTTGGAGGTTAGGATTTCAACATCTGAATTTTGGGGAATATGAATGTTACGTTCAGTCCATTGCATACACTGTACATATATCTATCTATCTATCTATCTATCTATCTATCTATCTATCAATCTATCTATATATATATATATATCTACATAAATATGTCTTTAAATTTGATATATTTATCTTTAAAATATTGAATTCTGAATACCATTGGCTAGCAAAACTATGGGACTGAAAATAATCTGCTGATTTCTCATCTTGGCCTTTGAGATCATTAAGAACCCTGTGAACTATCTTTATATGACAATTATTTTTAATTCTAGGAAATTCAATACAGTAGTAGAATGCTATAGAATAACATGTTCATTTTTTGTGTTCATTTTCGTCACATAAATTGACTTCTTAGGCTTCAAAATTTGGAGAGTTTTAATGTTAATCCTAACATCAAAGGTACCTTAAATTTTTTAAATATTATCCATTATTAGAGTAGCTGGTAGGTTTATAAAGAATTTAGTGTGCTCTGAGATCTGTATTTTTAACAAGCAACTCAGGTGACTCTTAAGCAGATTTGGGAACCGAAGTCGTAAGCAAGTGAACTATGTAAATATTGTACCCTCTTGTCTTTCTTTCTATTTTGCCTGTCACTCTCTCCTGCAGAGATAATAATGCATAATAAATTAATAGAGGAATCAATGACTAGTCTATGGTTAGACATGGACTTTATAAAGCAAGCACTCCATCATTTATTAAAGCATATAAAATATATATCATAACATATGTTTTAACTTTATTGCAACAATCCATTTTATGAATAAAAATCTCCTAGGTAGATATTTTGACACAGTCAAGAAGGAAACTGAATCTATGACTGTTCTATGAGCCTGTTAGAATTGATGAAATTCAAGATCTAACATGCATGAAAGCATTTTAGATGTGGAGTTAGCTGATATTATTTGGGTGGCTTTTCTCTCACATGTTTATTTTGCTATTTTGCTTATAGTCATCAGTCTACTTGTCCATCTACCCTTGCTGTAAGAGGTCTTATTTTTCCTTCCATATACCAATCCAGTCCCCATCACAGACCCTGATGTATCATAGACCCCGAAACAACTTGTTAAGGAAATGAATTTCTATTCAAACATGTACACACACACACACAATCTAGGCAATTTTAATGCTAGCAACTGAATCACAAGAATGGAATAAAAGATACATTCTATCTCTGATATGAACAACTGCATTACTATTTAAAAAAAAGTGGGCCAGGTGTAATGACTTATGCTTATAATCCCAGCACTTTGGGAGGCCAAGGCAGGCAGATCACAGGCAGATGACTTGAGACCAGGAGTTTGAGGCCAGCCTGGCCAACATGGTGAAACCCCATCTCTACTGAAAATATAAAAATTAGCTGGGCGTGGGGGTGCATGCCTGTAATCCCAGTGGGTGGCTGAGGCAGGAGAATCACTTGAACTCTGGAGGCGGAGGTTGCAGTGAGCTAAGATCACACCACTGCACTCCAGCCTGGGCGACAGAGCGAGACTCTGTCTCAAAAAACTAATATTAATATAAAATAAATAATAAAATGTGCTTACATAGACTTAATATTGATGATAAAAATTTTGAATAACACGTTACTATTGCATAGCACATCTTATTGCTCGAAATGAGACCTAGGTATATGACATTTGTCAACATACATCAAAAGATTGTTGATTTGGGAAAATGATCATAAGGCTGATAAGTTTTCTCAGTTCAATACATTTGAGCTCATGACATGTTTTGAACTCTGACCCCCTAAAAAGGAAGCGTTAGGCATGCTAATGGGATAAATCAGCCAAATCCCATCTATCTGACCTTATTAATGTAACTCTAGGATTTAGATTCTGACCTTCCATAATTATTGACACCTATTTAATTTATCTTCTCATCAATAGTGAAGCCTAGTGCAGCTGCTATGGCACATGTAAATACATCACTGTTGCCAGCACAGGCTGATTGGCATTCATGCTTGAGTGTCTTTTTTATTTTCTCCTTGGCTGCTGGGAGTAGCCTGAGCAGCGCAGACACTAAAGAGCTTCATCTATTAGGCATGACAGATTTGTATTCAGCGATAAACGCCTGACCTTGCTCTACTCTCTCATCCATTCCCATCATCCCCTCGCCAGATGAAAGAGTCTGCTTAACTCCTGTTTCCTGGCTGTTTCCTTGGCAACAATAACTGAGTCAGTCTGACAGAATAACTAATAGAATACCTTGGTAGTGAGATTAAAGTGCTTTAAAAAAAGTCGTCACCCACAGAATTATAAATGAGAAATGTTTAAAATCGGAATTTTAAGATGATACCAATCAGTGACATTATGATTTCCTTATTAACCCATTTCATTTTGTGGTAATATTTACAGACTTTTCCCAAGGTATTTTAGGCCGGGACCAGAGTATTTAAGCTTTTAGGATCCATTTGTGTTATATGATGAAAACAGATTGGTTTTGTAATAAAACTTGTATTGCTTTAGATGTTGAATTAGTGGGTAGAAGATATGTACAGACAGTGTCCCAACTGGGAAGAAGGACTTTGTAATGAAATATGTACTATCTATTTTTCTCATTCCTCTTCTGAAGGAGATGTACCTTTTTAAGGCATTATAACTAGAAGATCATAAAGCTACAAGTATCATCTCCCTTTAGGATTCTGTCACTTTTAGCCCAATTCTTACTATCTGAAAGATTCATCAGCATTCTTGTTTCATATTGTTTTTTGACAACACATCACGAGGTTGTCAAAAGTCTCAGAATCCCTGTGGAATTCTTAAATTTGGACTGCAAATTATAGCATAAGCTGAAAGCTAAACTTCTGAATTTTTCAGTGAAACTTTGATGGAATTTTATAGAATAATTTTAGATTACTTTATATCTTCATAAGAATGCATGCAGCTAATAGATACAATATAGAGAGATGGAGCAGAGAGACCATTTGGGTAAAGCATTTTCTACTCTGAATGTCTCCAGTGATTGCATCATGATTTATTAGTTTTGCCTTGGGCTCAAATAAATTTTAAATGATTTCTAAATATCTATTTTTTCTATTATTCTAATTATATTTTTCTAATCTCATTTAATATTTTCTGAGGCCACCTAATATTTGGATGTGCTTAACTGGGTCTAATAAATAATAGAGGACAGAAATAATGTAATAACATTAATTTAGATAATCTACTCTAGAACTCTATATTAAATGAAAGCTTATCATTTATGATTATGTCTTGCTATTACTACACATTTTGAGAGTGCAATTAACTTCTATTATCACAATGATAATTACAGTTGGCAACAGAAGTCAACAAAGCCTATTTATCTGTTTTGCAATTTTAAAAATTTAGACATTTCCACTCACATTTAGTACCTCTGATTAGAATGGACATTTTCTGCTTTGCAGTCTTTTTATAGAGGTTTAATATAAATTTATTCCAATTGTTATTGCCAGTGCTCATTTCAGGAAACCTGCTTAACCACAGAATGAAGTCTGAAGGAGGTGAGCACATCAAAATGTAGAGATGACTGTTCACCAGTCTTCAGATGACTGGATGGTCTGTTTCTGTCCCCATGGATATCAGAAGAAGCAGTTGTCTTTGCTAATAGATTTGAGAGGGAAAAATCTTTCAAATAGTGTGTTTGACTTGCTCTAAGAACATGAAACAAAACTATATTAGCATCCAATTGCTGCTGTAACATATTACCAATAATTTAGTAGCTTAAACCAACATAAATGTATTATTTTAAATTCTAAAGGCTAGAAGTCTAAATTCAGTCTAACCAGCTAAAGTGAAAGCATCAATGAATTTCTTGGCTCATGGCCCCTTCCTTATATTCCTTCAAACTCCTGCTCCTCCTCCTATCCTGATTCAGACCCTCCTGAATCAACTCATAAGACCTTTGTTATTGCATTGAGCTTATTTAGATAAACCAGGATAACCTCCTCATTTTAAAAATCCTTAATTTATTTATATCCGTAATGTCTTTTTTTACCATGTAAATTAACAATTTCTAGGGATTGGGATATGGATATCTTTTTTTTTTTTTTTTTGGAGGGTATGGGGTTTTTTTCATCCTACCACAAAAACACTTATTCTTCTAAAATGTGTGCATACAGAGTAGGCAGTCGGTAACTATTCCTCAAAGGTATAAATGAGCATGAATACACAGAAATGTGCAAGAAATAATATGGAAAAACACCAGTGGCCAGGCACAGTGGCTGAAGGCTGTAATCCCATTGATTTCAGAGGTCAGGAGTTGGGAGACATGACAAGACCCTGAGATATACCTAATGCTAAATGACAAGTTAATGGGTGCAGCACACCAGCGTGGCACATGTATACATATGTAACTAACCAGCACATTATGCACATGTACCCTAAAACTTAAAGTATAGTAATAATAAATAAATAAATAAATTTTAAAAAATAATTAGCCAGGTATGGTCCTGCAAGTCTATAGTCCTAGCTACTCAGGAGTCTGAGGCAGGAAGATCGCTTGAGCCTGAGGGCCCAAGGTTACAGCGAGCTATGATTGCACCCCTGCACTTTAGCCTAGATGACAGTGAGGCCTTGTAGCTAAAAAAGAATAAAAAAGAAGAGAAAATTAACAAGAGCTTGTAAAAATAAGAAGTGTAACTTTCAATAAATCATTTAAGAGTAACCTAACAACTGCGTGGTCAGATCTCTAGTTGAGTAAAATAGAGAAAAGGGGATGAAAAGTAGAGTTTGAATTTGCAGTTGAATGGTTAGTTGTGCTGGCCTCTAGATTTTGTTTGTGTGATTCCATGGGAGACTCAAAATTAAGGAGTGGAGAAGATATAAGCTAAGAAAAATAAGGCAATTAAAGACATCAAAATAAATATAATGGAGGGGCTATGCTTTAGATTGAAGTTTATAGCCTCATAGTGAATTCTAGATCTTCTTTAGCTTTATTCTACTAGATACCGCTAGGGAGAGAGAAGCAAAATAGAAGGAAAAGAAGCATTAAGCAGAGAGTCTAAGCAATTGTTTAAAAATCAGCTTGCAGTTTGTGATATGATAATTATTATTATGATCCTCGTCTGTGATAGCATTACCATAATTACTATGCTAAAAATATCATAACTACTTTATAATGAAGTAAAATGTATTAATATTTAGAGTGGTACATTTTACACAAAATACATTCTCAAAGGGTTTACAAAGCTAGATAATGTAGTTAAAAATACACATCAAAAGAAAGAAAGAAGAAAGGAAGAAAAGATGAAACAAAAAGTGGAGGTGGACTTCACTGTACTTGAAGATAAGTCTTTAGGGTGTGATATTAAGGTTGAAGGGACTAAAACCTAGTGAGACAAAAAGTTGTATTACTGTGCCCATGCAATAATAAATTGCTTAATACATTTAATTTTCTATCCAACTGATTAATGAGCTAATGTAGACAATCTTTTGTTCACATTCATATATCTTCTGTTTTTAGTTTTCTCCATCTTTAAAGCATTGAAAGGTGTAAATTGAGTCAGTTGTTGTTGATTTATGAAGAAATGGGCTGATCACTTCCCGGTTGCCCTTCTATGTCTGGGACACCTAGGCCATTATCCTGCTAACACTACATCCTGTTGCCACCTATATGGTTTTTCTCTACTAATCTTAAAATATCATAAAGGCATTTATTTATAAAATTATGTGCCTAACTTCTATATGCTGGACCTGATGTCATTTTAAAATAATATATGTCTTGAAGTAGCTTAAACTTGATTGGGGAAGATAGATGAGTATAGCAATAAATTAGACCAGATTGAAGCATACATATTTGATTTTCATACATCTTTTAAGGCTCAAAACGTATCTGGTCTTTATTATAATGCTGTACTAGTCAGCTAGGGCTTCCATCGAAAATAGCATGGACTGGGTAACTTTAACAACAGACACTTATTTGCTCACAGTTCTGGAGGTTAGAAGTCCATGATTAATATGCAGGCAAATTCATTTACTGGTAAGGGCTCTCTTCCTCTTCTGCAGAAGGCCACCTTCTTACTGTGTCTTCGCATGACTTTCTTTTGTTTGCATACTGAAACAGAGAGAGAGAGATTTGATGTCTCTTCCTCATGTTATAAGGATACCAGTCTTATTGGATTAGAGTCTCACTGTTGTGCCCTCACTTAACCTTAATTACCTCCTTAAAAGCCCTGTCTCTAAATACAGTCACATTGGGGGTTAGAGCTTCAACGTATCAATTTTGAGGCTACACAACTCAGTCAGCTGAAGGCATCAGCTGATGCCTTCTCAGATTACATCAGTACCCTAAAATGCCCCTGTTCTCTGACTTCCTACAGAGTACATTGTCTAAATTTCACAACTAGAAATTGATTTTAGAATTGTTATTTGAATATTTTGACTTATATCATCTCAAAATTGTTAGCTCAGTGTAGAATGGTACTATGTTTCATTTTCAGAATAGAGTTTTTTTTTTAATTCTGAAACAATTCCAAGCAATGAAAAGTTGCAAGAATACTACAAAAGTTGTAAAAATAGTAGAAAGAATTCTTATGTTCTCTTTTTACAGAGACCTTACTAAGATTTTGCCGATTATCCCAATAATATCCTTGAAAGTAAAGGGTAAGATCCAGGATCATTCATTGTACATAGTTTTCCTATTTTCTAGTTTCTTTCAATCTGTAACACTTTTTCCATTTTTCTTTGACCTTCATGACCTTGAGACTTTTGAAGATTACAAGCCAGTCACTTCATAGAATGTCCATCAACATGAATTTATCCAGTGTTTCGTGATGATTAGACCTAAGTTATGCATTTTGAGTTGGGCTAGCACAGAACTGATGCTGTTGTTCTCATTGCATCACATTGGGTGGCATATGACATCAATTTGTCCCATGATTGATGGTGATAACTTAGACATTTATTAATATGGTTACTGCCAGATTTCCCTACTTTAAAGTTACTTTGCCCCCCTTTATAATTTGTTTTCTGGCTGGGAACAGTGCTCACACATGTAATCCAATCACTTTGGGAGGCTATGGCATGAGAATTGTTTGAGCCTAGTAGTTTGAGACCAGCCTCAGTCACATACGGGAGACCCCATCCCTACAAAACGTTTTTAAAAATAAGCCCAGCTGTGGTGGTATGTGCCTGTGGTCCCAGCTAGTCTGGAGGCTGAGACAGAGAGGATTGCTTGAGCCCACGAATTCAAGGCTGCAGTTAGCTGTGATGGCGCCATGCTCCAGCCTGTGTGACATAGCAAGACCTCTTCTCAATAATAATAATAATAGTAATAGTAATTTGTATTCTGTAGAGAGGTATTTTGATGCAGAATAACGGCCTATTCCTCATGTTCCTTTTCTCCATTAGTTTTAATAGCCACTTATGTTTCTTGCCTAAATCAGTTATTACTAATAAGTTGCCAAATGGTAAGTTTCAACTCCTATAGTTCCTTCCATTTGTATTGGTTTGTCTCCTGAAAGAAGAACATTTTCTTCCCCCTATGTATTTATTTATTCATTTATATTCATGTGGACTCATGATCTTTATTTTATTCAATGGGTTATTACCTGTTATTATCATTCCTTATTTTGATATTCGAATTGTCCCAGATTCAAGCAGTAGGAGTCCTTCTAGCTTCCTACTATGCCCTTTGACATGTTTTAATTACATTGTAATCTGAATCTTTCCTGAAATACTTTACCCACAAAGCTCTAAATGATGCAAGCACATGGAGATCCCCAGAATATAGTTTCAATTCTGCCGTTGCTAGTTTCTTCCTAGCTGTGCAGTTTCAACAAGTAAAACCTGAGCCTTAATTTCCTATTCTGTGAAATGGAATGGGAATTAACTTGCCCAGTTCTTTAATAATAATAATAGCTAATATTTGTTGAGCACTATATATTTGTCCTCTAATGATTGACAACAGGTAGGGATTAATCTGTTTTTATCTGAATAACTAGTAAGTTCCTAAAGGAGGTTTGAACCCCAAAAAAGGGGCTTCAGGGTCATAGCAAGAAGATAATAAAGGTAAATTCTATTACTATTACATGTTATTTATATTGTAATGAGAGTTGTTCTAAATAAGAGTTGTCAACATTGTTGCCTTGGAGTCTGAACTAGCAGAGGATTCACCTAATTTCAGCTAGAAGTTAGAGGTATATGAGTTTCACTCACTTAAGAGACTTTTCTTTTCTTTTCTTTCTTTCTTTTTTTTTTTTTTTTTGTTTGAGACAGAGTCTTGCTTTGTTGCACAGGCTGGAGTGCAGTGGCACAATCTTAGCTCACTGCAACCTCCACCTCCCAGGTTCCAGCAATTCTCCTGCATCAGCCTCCCAAGTAGCTGGGATTATAGGCAGGCACCACCACGCCTGGTTAATTTTTGTATTATTAGTAGAGACAGGGGTTTTGCCATGTTGAGCAGGCTGGTCTGCAACTCCTGACCTCAAGTGATCCACCTACCTCAGACTCCCAAACTGCTGGGATTACAGTGTGAGCCACTGTGCCCAGCCACTTAGGAGACTTTCCATTTCCCTTATACCCTTAGCATGAAATGAGAAAAGAGTAAGGGGAGTTTTTGTGATTTACTCTGAGTATCAGGAGAGACATATATAAATTTACTTGTTCTAAGATAATAGTTCTAATTAAAGAAGAATTTTTAGCAACCTCTTAGTTTCAAACACTATAATGTTCACAGCAAATAAATAGAAAGGAGAAAGAAACTGTTTCAGTGTTGAAGTAAAGTCAGAGAAAAGAGAGAGACAGAAAAAGGAGAACGAGGACAATAGGTACAAGGGAGGGAGGGAAAGAAGAAAGGGAAGAAAGGGAGTAGAGTCAGAGAAAAGAAAGATAGAAGAAGCAGGACAAAAGGGACAAAGGAAGGGAGGTGGGGAAGAAAGGAGAAAGGGAAGAAAGAAAGGGAAAGCCGGAGGGAGGGAGAGAAAGAAACACCGAGCTACCTGTGTAGCAGAGGTCTCGGGGATCGGATGTCTAGTTGTGCTGGTCCCATCTCTTGATAAGCCCTGAGCACTCATATATCTTGTGTAGTAAATAACCTAATTCTAATAGCTTCCAAGGAAAGCTTGCAAAAAAAATGGGCAGAGGAATGGAGAGAGCCTGTTTTAAGATAGAGAGAGGGCTACCATCCTTGCATGTGGCATCTGAAAGATAACCACACAGAGCATATTTTGGAGATTCAATTTTTATGTAATGGGTGTCGTTACTATCCAGACCATGGGGGAGGAAGACATGCACCCTTTAATCCTGTAGCACCTTCACCTTCATCTTGTTCCACACAATTAACATTTATTTGGATGGCTGTCTTTTTTGCTTTCCTAATAACAGTGTAATTTTACTTTACATGTGAGATATAGCATAACAAATCGAATAGGAAATAATTATAATCATGAAATACTCTCACAGAGGCATCTCCTTCCAGCTAGTTCCAGGTGGCCCAAGGTCGATTGTGAACACTCAGGATGGATGGCGTGTCTGTCCTTTCTCTGGAGGTGTCTTGGGCACACAGACCTATATGTGCACTTGGCATTGTGCTTGTTCACAATGTTAAAGTTGTGATGTTAGCAAGTCAGAGATGAGTAGGGGCCTGCAGAAAGAGCTAGTTAGATTAATCCTTAAGGAGTGAGCCATGAAATATTTCATGGGCTGAAATGAGAGGCATGACCAGTACTAAATCAGCAGACCTTGGGACCCTTTAACAGCGGTGCTAACCCAAAATATTTTTAGGCCTGAAAAAAATGGGCAAAGTGATCTTTACATAAATTATTCTCTGGGCTGCTAGTCACACACCAGCATGCTGGGAACAATAAGCTCACAGGGGTATTTGTTCAAAATATTTGATTTCCCATAAGGCTACTTAGCCAAGAAAACGTAGAGGACAATTTACTTTTCACTGACATGTTTGTTGTCCTTTCTTCTACAGCCATTCTCCCAGGATGAGGATAAAATATGGAGTCTTGATTCTGAGACACAGTTTGTCTTTACTAGAGATGCCATCAAGGTTCTGGTGATTCCCTAGGACAAGTGGCAGTGCTTCCTGACTACCACTGGGCTGTGTGTGTGTGTGTGTGTGTGTATTTGTGTGTGTGTGCGTGTGCGTGTGAGTGTTGACATTGATTTCTCTCCTCTTGGCATGTAGAAGTCCCAAGTGCCCCACTGACCCATTACCTGAGCCTGTAATTACTTCAGGAGTAGGGAATGAAAAGGGCATATCTCCTCTGCTTTCAGGGAATGACAGACTCGGGAAAATAAGCAGGCCCTGCATTAAGGCAAATCTCTCAGGAGAGCTTAAAGACTCAAGTCTTGACTCGGATGCATTTTTACATCAGTAGAGGCCATGCTCATTACCAGTGAAGACTGCTGAAGTTGTGGAGTTGGCATATGACCCTGAAACTGCTTCACCATAAAGACAGATTTTAATGCCCATATGTGACATGCAGGCACAAAAATGTAATCGCTATAATTAGCCAGCATCCCTTTTTCATAGTGCTACTATTTCGTGACTACTTGCCTACTTCATTTTGTTAAAGATAAAATGTTCGTCCTATTTTTAAAAAGTAAGTTGTTTCTTCACAAGCCATTTTTAGGGATACATTCATTTTTAAAGGTATTTTATAGGGAGATAAGTGATCATTCCGTGTGTTTTTATTCTTTTGATTGTCTAGGATCTAGATTTTGCAATTTTGTGAATCTGTTTCCAAACTCTGCAAGGGTGTCTATATTATAAGTTATATAAAAGCCCTCTGCCTAATTTTTTGATGTATATGTATTTCCAGCCTAATATCCAAGCTGTATTGATGTGGGTGAGTGAGCATTGCTCCCTCAGACAGTCTGCTTAGCTGATTTTTGAAGTTAATTATGGTGCAGTGAAATCTAAAGGTCAGACCACATCTATTTTCCTGGTTTGTTCAATGCTATGGGCATACGGGCACCAGATAAATCCCTTAACTGCTGACCTAACTAATAACTTTCCTGTACACTTTAACCTATTTCCTGTTCCAGGTTTTCAGACTCTTTATTGTGCTGTAGGGTCTTCTTCAGAATGGGTTATTACAGAGCACATCACCCAAAGGCTACCATGAAGACCCCCTTAGGAATTTCAAATCATAATGTGTAAGGTAGCCTTTCTGCAATACACCCCCAAGTTATCAGTGTATTTCACCGATTGCCTGGATTATTTCATTTTATCCTTGCCACTTAAGGAGAAAATTAAATTTCAGAGAGAATTTTGAAAAACATGAAATGCTTAGGGTTAGTTGCTAAGGGATGGTTAGCTCACAGTTTTGAAAATTGTCTTGTTATTTATACGTTCATACATTTACCCCATTCATTTATGAATTCATTCATTCAGTGATTTCTTATTGAGCACTACCCTAGGATATATCACCATGCAAAATTCCGTGGTATACAAAAACTCAAGAATCATAGAACCTGACATAATTACATGATCATAACACGAACTACAAATCCAGGCCCAGCTTCTATCAGTGAGAGACAGAACCAGGGTACATACTCTGTGCAGTGCATGGTAGCAGAAACTTGAGGAGGTTCAAAAGAATAGGGGAACACAAAGCAATGGGAACCCAGGGTAGTAACTAAAGCAGCATGTTTTGTATTTGTTTAGGGTGTTTTTAATTTTAAGTTTTATTTTTTTCTTGAAGCCTATGCTGGAGTTCAGTGGCATGATCATGACTCAGTGCAGCCTTGACACTTGAGCCTGGGCTCAAGTGATCCCTTTTGCCTCAGCTTCCAAGTAGCTAGAACTTATGGTGCCTTCTTTAAAATAACTCATAATGTTCATCCATGATTAAAATAATGTGCTATGACTCTCAATGAAAATTTAAAGCCAATAGTTGTCATTTGTATTTGCTTATCTAATCCTAAATCAGCTGTCCCCAGAACACTTCTGTTGTACTTTCATGAAACGCTTGATCCTTTTAGGATTATTGTTCCTCTAATTTAAAGTTCTATTTCTTAATATTCTTAGAACAGTATTAAATTTATTAAGACATTAGGTTCTGAATGGATTCTTCTGCCACAGTTTGAATCTAAATATTCTCAGTAGGAAAAGGTTAAGCATGTGAGTGTCCTTATTCATTATTTGCCTTTATATTAACTGGACCAATACATGGGGGTTTAGAAGAAGAATCTAGAAACACAGCTGGACTAGGGAGAGGTGAGTGAGGCACTTTCTTGGGGTATACAATTTAAGGGGATTCCAAAGCACTCTGTAATCAAGATAATATTTTAACACAATAATTTTTAAAAATTAAAATTAATGCTAAAATGCCAAAATTCACAAACAACATACCAAAATCTTAAATTCAGACAGAATTGGTAATACTGATTTTCCTCTTGCTGCAGGCTTCAGTGTGGTGCAGCATGGCAGTGATCTAGAACAGATGGCTCTTGCATTCTATAACAGTTATAGAGCTTTAACTCTGGGCTACATCATTTCTCAGAATCTTTTAAGACCTAGTGATATGGTTTGGCTCTGCGTCCCCACCCAAATCTTGTCCTGAATACTCACGTGTTGTGGGAGGGAGCCTGTAGGAGTGGAAGATAATTGAATCATGGGGCAGGTCTTTTCTGTGCTGTTCTCTTGAGAGTGAATAAGTCTCACAAGATCTGATGGTTTTAAAAATGGGAGTTTCCCTGCACAAGCTCTCTCTCTTTGCCTACTGCCATCCATGTAAGATGTGACTTGCTCCTCCTTGCCTTCCACCATGATTGGGAGGCCTCCCCAGCCATGTGGAACTGTAAGTCCATTAAAACTTCTTCTTCTTCTTCTCAGTCTCAGGTTTGTCTTTATCACAGTGTGAAAATGGACAAATACACCTAGCTATTTGATTTTCTGGTAATTCAAAAAAAATGCAATTGTTTATCACTGGAACAGTTTTACAAATAGGCAATGAGCTTGAGTATGTCTGGATTATCTTTAAAGGTCAAACTATAGCCAGGAAATTAATATGGATTAATTAACCAATGAGTAAGCTGCAGAGTTTGGCCTTGAACTTTCCCTTCTGACTTCTGGTTCAGTGATCTTGTTAAGTCATCATACTACTTGGGTCCCGAATGCTCAAGAGGTAGAAGTAGGTTATTTATCATTTAGATCTCCTGTCTGTGCAGTCTCCTAGAGAGGTTCTATGCAAATTCAATTTCACCCTTAACACAAAATGAATACACCACATGGGAGCAGACAGAGAAGAAAAGTAAGTTAATTCCCATCTGTGATTATGTAAATGCATTCTAGTTTTCATGCATGCATTTAATGGGTTGGCAATCATAATTTTAATACTACTGGAAATGGTACTATTTGGAGATTTGTAAATTAAATGTGTTCATGTATTAATTGGCATCCTTAGATTTCTAGATCTTGGAAAAACAGGGTGAGAAGATGCTGTGACTAAAAGGTTCTATGCATGGAAGAAATGTGTTCTTTCTGGTGCTATTTCTTGACACAGAATTTCCTTAGCAGGCAGTTTAGATTTCCTTAATAAAGAAAGCCAAGCATCTTCTTGGGATACCTGAATAATATTCTGAAAGTGGCAGACTACTCTTGTTGGCAACTGAAAATGTACAAGGGCCACAAGGGCTGTTAGATTCAAGCCCATTTATTTCCCGAGCTTATCTGTCTCGGAAAGATCTTAGTCACAGAGTGTTTAGCCCCAAATTTACAAACATTGTTTTTCTCTCATGGCCCTTGCTTTATAATGGGGCTCTAGTACAAGGAAATGATGTGTATTTTTATTTATTTGTATTTTGTTAAGTAATCAGATTTCAGACTACACAAGTAGGATCTAACACAAAAGAGTTAAATACATGTATTTGCAGAACACAAATTGTTTTTGAAAGGATTGTGATTTTATTCATACACTGGCTTCATTAACACCATGACGAGCTGTTCACATTATAAGCTAAGTTACCTGATTTCATTTATGCTTTGCTGTCCCCTCCCACGTGCATATCCCATTTTTAGAAGGTGCTTTCTGTGCCTGGGAAGTAGAATGCATTTTTTGCAGCGAATAGGTTATTTTCTTATCAGTCTCTGACAATTTGTAGTCTCATACCCTCACTTTCTGCCATCATGCCTGCCTGGAAGAATCATTCTAGTGTGACCAACTTTTGAATGTCCTCTTTAGTATATTTGTGAGTGATGCCTGAGGCATTTTGTCTGTTCGCCTTCTTTCACACCTCCCTGTGACCCAAGATGAGAGAGTAATCTGACAAGCAGAGGCGGCAGGCTGTTTGAAACCCTAGCTTGGCTTTACTCGATCTCTGTCATTTTGTATTTTATTTGACTGTGGCAGTTTCATGGGTATATCAGAGCCCCCCAGTTATCAGTTAGGGGAAGCTAATAAAATCCCTGACACATCAGATTGTTTTCTCTTTCTTTCTATTGAACTCTTTGGCAATTGGGCTTGATGGGTTAAGACTCAAAGGAGGCGTCTTATTTCCCATTGCTGCCTAACCTAGATTCTTAGCTAAGGACAGCTAGCTTCTTAGCACATTTTGCCATCTGCCAAATGCAGAGTGGAATGTCCTGTTCCCAGCTTTCTGCCATGTGCTTGGTTCTTGCTCGCATTTGGGACTCATTTGCTTACTTGCCTGCCTGGTACTGGGAAGGTATATATGGTGCTTCCTTGCAAGCTGAAACTCTGGGCATGTTATTCTCTCCAGGTCCAGAATTCATGTTTCTTCAACTCAAGAACCTGTTCAGCGGGTGCTGACTTGGATGTGTGTGTTATGGCTTGGCCACATGGTACTCAAGATGTAATAAGAGGAGATAATTCACTCTGAGACTTCTAATTAAGGTTCAACAATTGAAGATCTAACAACAGATTTTAAGTCCTCATTTTGTTACTGGAAAGGGATCCTGATCTAGACCCCAAGAGAGGGTTGTTGGATCTAGAACAATAAAGAACTCAGGAAAAGTCCACAGAGTAAAGTGAAAGCAAGTTTATTGAGAATGTAAAGGAATAAAAGAATGACTATGCCATAGACATAGGGGAGTGTTTCCAAAAGCATGAGAAAGAATGTGCCCACCTTAGGCACAATACTTGTTTCAATATAAGGTAACAAAAGCAAAAAATCATGGGGTAGATGTGCTCTACTACAAGAATGCCTGATAAAAGATTGTTAATCTTCGTGTAATTACTGTTTTCCACAAGAATCTGTATTATTATCTTTTTAAAGCGAAACTTATTCTTAAAATAGGAATGCTTTTGTTCTTAAGACATAGGGACATCAGGACATTTCATGAATCTGTTAAGTCCTGGGTCTGGTAAATTCTGGATCTGTTTGGTAAACATTATTAACGTGTTTTCTTAACCATAAACATCCTCTAAGAATGCCTAACTTCCTGAGAATGCAGCCCAGTAGATCTCAGCCTCATTTTACCCAGCCCCTATTCAAGATGGAGTCACTCTGGCTCCAACGCCTCTGACAATTTAAATGTAGAAGAAAAAGTCTAAGATTGAGTAGAGATCAAAGTTGTGTCAAGAACAGAAGGAAACAGTGAGACATGTTGCAGAATAACCACAAAGAGTCATTTTACCTACTGCATGTCTTATGTGATAGAAGTAGATCCTTCTATTACCCTTCTACTGTCTTTTATGTTCTTAAATTGGGCCCATTTTTCTGGCCTTTCAAAAGAGAATTTCTGTTTGACAGTGAACTCTAAATTGAAAAACTTTAAATGACTATCCTATAGAAGAGAATTGTGTCTGATGCTCTCTTACGTTTATAATCTTTACTTCAAACTTTGATCCAAAAAAAAAAAAAAGGAAGGAAAAAAAAAAAAAGAGGAAGACGTGGTTCCTAACCTCAAACAGCTTATACTAAAGTTTGTTTTTCTCCCTCAATCAGAACTTAGAAAGAGTCTCCAGGGAGATGACCTGATTAAGAAATTAAACTGTTCATAGGTGACCATGTGTTACTTACCACAGATAGCATATTCATATTTAAAGAGAGGCTTTCTGCCTCGTGATGCTGTAAAGTTTTAAATGGTGGTTTCTGTTTGCCATCGTATAATAGCTAGACTTAGAGGACAATAATCTAGGTGAGAGTAAGGGCTATGATTTTCCTGTGCTTTATTTAAGCTCAAAATACATTTACTTATCCATTGTTTTCTATTACGTTTTATTTCTGGGTTTTATCTTTTTTCCTTGTTTGTTTATATTTATCTCACTGTTCTCTTTCACTTCTTTTTTCTCTTTACTACCCTCAAATAGATAATCACTGGAAGAGCAATGCATCCGAGAAAAATAAATTAACTTTAATCCAAGAGTAAAACTCAACGTATTTTTCAGAAATTTAGAAACTGCCAGTTTATATCAGTGGCTTTTTGTGTGTTTGCTTTCTTTTATATATTTTCTATTATGAAACATAAGACTTATATGGAAGAATGCACGTAAAGACATACACAGAAAAACACACACACACAATGGAGGCAGCTCCATCAATTCTCACTTAATTCCTTTGAGTCAAGAAACAGAACATTGACAGCTCCCAAAGAAACTCCTTCAAGACCTTTCTAATTGCTTGCCTATGTTTCACACCAAAGGAAGACACTGTCCTGAATTGTATTGAAACTTCTTTCTAAGTGATATATGGTCTAGGAAGAATGTATCCACACATTTCTACAGCTACTTAGTACCAATAGATTTTGTGAAAGGATTAGTTATAAATAATCAATGTTGATTTTGTTAGTATAATGTAATTTAATTATTTTCTAGTTTGAACTTTTAAAATCCTATTTGTTGTCATATATTACAAATTTTGCGTATGTACATAAAAATAAATTTCTTTGATAGATTGAAAAGAAAAACCAAAAAACTTGTTTCTAACTTTTATGAGAGTTGTACTTCCCAAGCACCCATCCAGAAACACTCTAATTCAGTAGTTGTTGAATTATATATGAATGGAATCCCACCATGTATATTATTTTGTGTCTAGCCTTTTTTTCTGGGCATTCTTTTGGGAGAGTCGTCCATGTTGCATAGCTATAGTTTGCTCAATGAATTGCTATTGAGTGTTTCATGGTATCAGTATACCATAATTTACTTATGCGTTCTACCAATGATGGGTGTTTGGATTGTATCTGATTTGTGGCTGTTTTGCTAGAATGAACATGCTTGGACATGGCTTTCCTATGCAGCAAGCACATGCCTTTCTGTTGGTGTACATCTAAGTGTGGAACTGCACATTTTCAAACTCATTAGATAATGTCCATCTAGTTGCCAAAGTGGTTATATCAATTTATATTTTCACCTAGTACTTATAAGAGTTGCAATTACTCTATATTCTCATAAACACTGTCATTTTAATTTTAGCCATTTTATGGGCAGGTATAGAATCTCATTGTAGCTTTAATATGTACTTCCCTGATGACTAATGAGGGTAGTCAGCTTTTTGTATATTTGTTGACCGTTTGGGTGTCTTTTGTGAAATGCCTACTCAGGTCTCTTGTCTATTTTTAGATTGATAGGTTTTCCATGTGTATTGAATCTACTGATCAGTTTATAGAGACAGTACAATTTTAATAGTATTTTAATATTTTATAATATTTAATAATTCAATCTTCCAATACTGGATATCTGGTATGGTGATTCTTTGCAATTTTGACTAAGTGTTCTAAAACTTCAATATTTATTAAATCCTCTTTATTATTTTTTAAAAATATTTTATAGTTTTCTGTGTGCAAGCCTTGCCAATCTTGTATTAGATTTATGTTAGAATTTCTGGTCTCTGTCTCTGTGTGTGTGTGTCTGTCCGTCTCTGTCTTTCTCTTTCTTTCTCCTCTTCCTTCATTCCTTCCCTCCCTCCCTCCCTCCCTCCTTCCTTCCTTCCTTCTTTCCTTCTTTCCTTAGCTGGTTCTTCCAGTAGAGCAGTGGTTCTTAACCCCAGGCAATTTTCGTCTGCTGGGAAGATTTGGTAATGAGAAGACATTTTTGACTGTCATTAACTGAGAAAACACTGCTGATATCTAGTAAGTAGAGGCCAGAGATGCCTTTAAAAACTTATTTTTAAATGTTGTCCTTTTTTTTCCTTCCAGTAGTTCTCAATGGAAAGGTGGTTCTGAGTTTTCTGGTCTACCATTACAGGAAGCAGAATTCTTGTTTTATTTGTCTGTGCATTTGTTAATTTATTTCTAGGTAGGAATCTAAGAAAATCAGCATTGAAAACTCTGAAAGTATTTTTTTTTTCTGGGAAATAGTGCATATTCAACTGTAAACTATTGAAAATGATGACGTATTTAACAAGATATGCTCATTTCATAGAAGTCCTAATTTGAATGAAAACCATTTTTTCTTTAATTTCTATAATCATAGCTTGAAGAATGTCTAACTCATACTTATGCAGAAGAGATGTCCACTTGCTCTCACTATCCCTGAGTTAGAAACGAAATATTTAAATGATTAAAAAGTAATTCTGGAATAAAGTGAGATGACTTGTTGCTCCTCAGTTTTTCAGCTGAATAAACACAGCTTCATAAATTGTGACATTAATATCATCAATAGTTAAATGTGTTGACAGATAGGCAAAGCCTGTAGTTGGCATTTCTCTCTTCTCAGTGTTATGTGGGTATATTAAACGACTGTTCCATATCATAGAAGTAGATTGGAGGTTAAGCAAAATAAGATAATTTAGCAATCAGCAAGTTTTAAATTTTTAAGAACATCCAAACCCAACCAAGAAAACAAAAGAGGGCTTTTGCCACTTTGGTCTAAGTTTAAGAGTAAGATCTAAATCCAGCAGAGACGTCTAAGTCTAAAGAGACCACCAACTTAAATTTACAAGAAAAAAACAAACAACCCTATCAAAAATTGGGCGAAGGACATGAACAGACACTTCTCAAAAGAAGACATTTATGCAGCCAAAAAACACATGAAAAAATGCTCACCATCACTGGCCATCAGAGAAATGCAAATCAAAACCACAATGAGATACCATCTCACACCAGTTAGAATGGCAATCATTAAAAAGTCAGGAAACAACAGGTGCTGGAGAGGATGTGGAGAAATAGGAACACTTTTACACTGTTGGTGGGACTGTAAACTAGTTCAACCATTGTGGAAGTCAGTGTGGCGATTCCTCAGGGATCTAGAACTAGAAATACCATTTGACCCAGCCATCCCATTACTGGGTATATACCCAAAGGACTATAAATCATGCTGCTATAAAGACACATGCACACGTATGTTTATTGTGGCACTATTCACAATAGCAAAGACTTGGAACCAACCCAAATGTCCAACAATGATAGACTGGATTAAGAAAATGTGGCACATATACACCATGGAATACTATGCAGCCATAAAAAATGATGAGTTCATGTCCTTTGTAGGGACATGGATGAAATTGGAAATCATCATTGTCAGTAAGCTATCGCAAGGACAAAAAACCAAACATCGCATGTTCTCGCTCATAGGTAGGAATTGAACAATGAGAACACATGGACACAGGAAGGGGAACATCACACTCTGGGGACTGTTGTGGGGTGGGGGGAGGGGGGAGGGATAGCATTAGGAGATATACCTAATGCTAAATGACAAGTTACTGGGTGTAGCACACCAACATGGCACATGTATACATATGTAACTAACCTGCACATTGTGCACATGTACCCTAAAACTTAAAGTATAATAATAATAAAATAAAATAAAAAAAGACAAAAAAAAGAAAGAAAGATTAAAAAAAAAAAAGAGAGACCACCAACTTTGGGTTTGAATTCTCTTTCCTGCTTGTTAGTTGCAGCAGCTCAGAAAAATGTCCACTCTGATATCCCTGCTTCCCTCATAAACAAGGATTTTTACAATTTTAGGTTATCAGTCTGCCTTTCAACAATACAAAGACTTGTTTAAATTGCTTTAAAAGAGGAAGAAAAAAAATTATCTCATCATGTTTAGATCCTCAGTCTTGATTCTGAGCATTTATGCTAATGGGATACATATATGTCCATCTTGTACATTTTCCCTGGAAACCTCCAATCCTGTTGGAATTAATTGAATAACTGCATATGCAATAGAACCTCTAAGTATAATGAATCTGAAAAGAAATGAGAACTTGGAGATTCAGCCAAGCACAAGTCATGTTAGATATTTTAGTTGTTTTGCAATTTGCAGTTTCAATTGCTGAAAATTCTCTTGAATGCTTCATTGTCTCACTGATCTACCAGGAAATGAGAGTTGTGTTAAGAGGGAAAAAAAGAGAAGAAAACACCCATTTCATCGTGGCCTGAATGTTGATCTGAGTGGATACTGGAGACTGTTTTCACGATTGCTTTTGAGCTGCATTGAGTGACTCTAGGCATGCATTTAGAAGCCACTACAGGGGTAAAAAAAAACAAATCAAAACCAAAAAGCCTTCTAAATAAGTAAAATCTTGTCTTATATTTAGGAGATGTTATACCAAAAATGAATTTAATGCATTTTAGGACATAAAAACACCGCTAACATTGAATGAAGAAAAATACTTAGCCTTTATATTAATAGCCCATTTTTCTATAGCAGTCTCTTCTTATAATACTAAAAAAAAAGTCAATAACTATGAAAATTAAGTGAATATATACTCTGCTAAGTACTTTTTATTCACTTTATACCCCATAAAATCCTCACAACACTATCATGAGAAAGGTTCTATTGTACAGTTGACACAAATAAATAGAATTTAAAGTGGTGAAGAAACTCGCCACTCACTCATATAATAAATGGCAGCTTCTGGATTTGAACCCAGATCTGCCTTTATTAAGTGCAGTGCTGCTGCATTGAGTGTGGGTGACTTTACAGTGATCAAATTATGGGTGTATGAATAATGTAATGGATTTATGAGAGTAATCCATAAGCTATAACATTTCAGCTGCCCTCAGATAAGCTGTATGTAAGGACCTTGAGACATGTTTTTTAGACTCTTAAAGGGCCTCCTTAAAAGGATGGGAAGAAAATCTATTTTACTTCCCACCATAGATTCCATATTGGCAGGATTCTTGGGGTAGAATTGGATATTATTCACACTCAAAAGATCACTGGGCAGTGAAACATAATAAGGCCACAGAATATGGTGAAGTACTCTGTACTACCTTGAAACATTTTTAGCTTTCAGCATCCAATTGTGTAATTGCAATGTGTGTTGTCATTAGTACTTATAAGCCTTTTTGCTTAATTTTAAAATTGGAATTAAAATACTGACTTACATTTTGAAAATTCCCTAAAAACATCATCCTCTTTCCTTTGGATTCTTGCTCATGACTGATTCATAGAATCAATAATATGCAGGGCCAGTATTGTGAGAGATTTTCTTTTAAATGAGTTTCTAGGGCTCCAGTGATTCAAAAAATCCCATTAAAGTATATTTTAAAAATTAAACTGAATCCACCAAATAACACATCCATGAATGCTTATTTGAAAACAATGTAAAAGAGAAGGTTAAAGAAGTTGATGTATATTTTATTGTTTTTAAAATATTTATATGGGATGAAAATTCAGTGAATCAGAATCTTTTATTCAGAGGCTGCTCGGTAAATAAACTATAGAACACGTAAGATTTATTTTTATGTAGTTGGATATAATTTATTAATTCGATTTCAATACAGTGAGAGACTTAGAGTGATTTAATGATTGACATGATAATTTATAAGACTTATATTTACCCTCATTCGTGTCCCTTCTGGAAATCTCATAATCTTACCTGTATATATTGATTTTCATTAGTTCAGATATTTTTCCTTTAAAAAAACAGATTCTATTTTTCTTTATTTGCTTTTATTTGTTTACTTTGGCTTTTTTGGTAACAGCTTTATTAAGATATAATTCATATAGTATAAATCCTATTATTCTTTAGTCACATGGAAATAAAAGTTGACCTTATACCAGATCAACAGGTATTGTAATTAGAAAAGTTTAGAATGTAGATTACTTTCAGAATTATTAAAGCAAAAGCTTTTATTTTTGTCAAAAACCTGCTTTTTTTTTTAAGAAATAGTATATGCATTTCTTGTCTTAACAAACTAATGGTAAATCCCAGGTGTTAAACGGACTCAATCCCATTAAATAGCCATATTTTCTTTCATTTTTAACTGATAAATTTCAGAACCATACTGCTTCACTTTCTGTCATTTTATTATGTAATCTTAACTAAGCCTTGCCAATGATGTTTTAATTATACCTTTACTATATTAGAGTCATATTTATTCTATTGCTCTAAATTTCTGAATTTTCTGAAGCTTTCATTCTCTCTAAATTTCAAGCAGAATTTTACAGTTCTGAAGATTTAAATTGTGAACATGAAGATAGACTATAAATTACTGATTGAAAAAAGACAAGTCAAATAGCCCTCTGGAAATTGGTATCCCATAGCCCTTTGCAATCGTAACTTGTGCATAATGCACTCATGTTTATGTAAATGACATCCTACCAAACAGTCATTTATAATACCAGTTAGCATTTGTATTGAATCCTGGCAGTGCTTTATTTCTAAATTGTACCCATTTTTAATGAACACCCCCCCCACCCCAAGTAATGTCTTAAAAAGTAATGTCAGGTGCAAATTATTTTTAAATAGTTAGGTTTTGTTTCTGTATAAGATATTTAACTTTGAAAAGAAAAGTGACAGCCTGCCAAGTGCATAATGCACTCTCCTGAGTATCAGTACTTGCATATTTTAAGAGAAATCACATAAAAAAGTAATAGAGTATCTCAGTATAAAGCAAACTCAAAAAGTGTTTTTCTTTCATGTTAGCTTCAGCATATTTTAAAATCTGGTGGGCCATTGAGAAAACAGTTGCGATGTTATTTTTAAAATGTGGAAGCCACAATTTTTTTTTAAATCAGGCATGTTGTGTAGTGTACATACCAAGCCCATGAGCCCACAAAAAGGAACAGAAAAATATATTCTCTTTGCAAAGTAGAGTGGTGGGTTATTGACATGCAGATCAGCCACGTTGGACTGAATTGCTCCTACACAGAATAACTGAGGACTTCAAATCACTTTGAAAAGACCAGGCCAGGGCTATAGATTTCTGTGGGCCCTGGCTCCTTGATTACATTTATGGTTGGATTCACAAATTTATAAAAATAAGCCAGTTCGTTTATTTGGGGACAAATGGAATACAGATGAAGAAATTTTTATACACTTGATGAAAGAAATGTGTCCAAGTGCAATTATTATTTTGAACGTTGAAAGCAAGGCCCACTGCCATCAATGCTAACACATGAACTGTTGCATTCTCTGCGTTGAAAGCTAAGCCCTTGTTTGAAATGAACTCTTAAGGTTTTTCCCTTTCTTCAAGAAGGCCTTCCAATTTTCAGGTTTTTCTCCTTAAAAAAATACTTAATATTTATTAGCTAACCAATGATTTGGAGAAAATAGACTTTTCAAGAGGAAAGGGAAAAAATCACACTCATGGATTATTGGTGGTAATTTGTTGTATGGCATAGCAGTTCACTGGTTGTATGCCAATGATGGTTTTCTGAGGTGTGGGAGATGAACTAAAATCTTTCTTAACAGAAAGAGAATTAGCATTACAAGAAATACACACAAAATAAAAGACATTTCCATGATGATATCTAATATATTTTCATGGAGACTTGAGTATCTATGTCATCTTTGAAAATTAGTTTTGCTTGTTTTACCTAGCATATTAAAGTTGGGGTGTGTGTGTGTGTGGTTAGTGGCAGATACGGGTGGGGGCAGGGTAGTATAGAAACTAGTAGTGACTTAATTGAATGAAATGACTAGAAGATAGCTTTCTAAATCCCATTTCAAAACTGGACCATCCAATTTCACTCTTAGATTTGATTCCCCCATCCCAGTGCTAGAATTCGGCCAGTAGTTGTAAAAAATACAAGCACTGTGGTGGTTGCATTTTCTTAATGAAGGTAACATTTGAGTTACCAAACAGTTTACCTAACTGTTTTGTACATAAAAGTAAGAGATATTCTTTTATGATAAAAATCTATTTTAGGATTCTCATTCATTTAATGTGTACATTTGGTTATTTGGCATTAAAAGTAAACTCAACTTGAACAAAAATTTTTTTGTATTTGCTAAAAGATAATTATGAGATGTTTTAATGGGAAGATTAAAAATTTTCTTTAAGACGAATATTTTTCTTACTATACTGTATTCTGTGGCAACTTTATGATTTTTTTTACCAATAATCTCGAGAATATATGCAATGGACCAGGGACAAATCCTTACCCAGGATGTGGGAGCGGGGTTGAGGGGGGTGCTGTGGGGAATGGTTCAAAGTAGATTAGATAAATTTATGGGTCTGCCAAATCCTCATAATGGGTTGAACGATCGTGACACACAATGTTACATTTTGCTGACCTGTTACTTAGTAAAATGTCAAAATGGAGCCAGATTTGCAACACATGATGTTAATGGTGGAGAGTGTCCAGGTTCTTGGCCACTTGAACAAAGAATTGGACAAAACGCACAAACAAAGCAAGAAAGGCACAAAGGGATTTCTTGAAAATGAAAGTACACTCCACAGTGTGGGAGCTAGCCCGAGCATAGGAGCTCAAAAAGCTCCGTTACAGAATTTTTGGGAGTTTAAATACCCCCTAGAGGATTCCATTGTTTATTTGGGATACGCCTTATGTAAATGGAGAGGAAGAAGTAAAGTGACAAAGTCATCTAGTTGGCCTGCGCCCTATGGAGAGGATATTTCCTGTCATAGCTGAATCAGCCTTATGTTCCGTGTCTCCAGACCCTGTTTTCCTGCTTCAATGGAATGACTTCAACTTTAGTTACATGGTTTTGTTTTCCTGATGTTTGCAAAGTTACCTCTGTCTTAACTAGGATAGGTTCATCTTTTTTTGATTTGTTACACAGTTGCAGCTATTCATTATTGCATCTTTCAAATAAACATGAAAGTACTCTTGGGTTTCAGATCAGGAATTATTAAAAATGATTTGTAGCAAAGGAGGTTGCTTTAAATCCAGTTCAATATCATACACTTCTTCTACTTCATTCTTTGTAAAAATTAATCTTTCTAAAGTTTTCCTTCGATTTCAATTGAATATTTCTCACCTTTTCTTGATATATAATATATATTGCTAACCTTTTAAAAAACAGTACACATTTATCTCACCCATTTCCCTAATTCCTATGTCTAGACTAAAGGGCAGATCCTCCATATTAAGTTAGTTTTGAAAAAGTAAAATAAATTTATTTTCTCTTGTGACCAAAATAGTTTAGATTTTCAACCAGCCCATCAAGTGAACTTTCAAATAACCAAATTCACATTGAACTATTTTTTAGATGGAAAGTTATAATCAATGAAAATCCAGTAAAATGCATATATAAGTCTTTCAAATGTCAAAAGAGAATACCTGAACTAAGCTTTGGAATACTAAGCATTTAAAACATTCTCCATTGAAGGCATCCATCCTTTATTAAAATTTGCTTATGTGAGATCATTTAATCCATTTCTACATTGGGAGTTATTTTGGCTGGATTGCATTGGTCAATATTACCTTTATAATACTGCACTGTAAGAAAGTTTACTTGCTCCGTATGAAATTTCCAATATTTGATGGTTTTTGACCTACAAAAGCAGCAAGTTTCACTTGCTTCAAACTAAAACTGCTTTTCTTAAGCTCCTTTGAGGATTAAAGGAGAATAGGACAGAAGGAAGCTTCAGAATCCAGACCAAATTTTACTACTCATCCTCCACCCTTTCTTTTGTCATCTTCTCCCAAACTTTTATTTGCTTCCAATCTTTGTGTTGCTGAATGTTTGGGGCTCTTTAGTTGTTGAATTTGTATTGCTGTTTCAAAATCAATGGTTTTCCATCTGCTGCTTATATGCAGACAACTATGAGAGAATCATGGAACCTTTGCACTAAACCTGAAGATTGAATTAAGGGCATTCAGATTTAACCGCTTTTTCAATTAAAAAATTCCTCTACAGCAGAGGTCAGCAAACTTTTTTTTGTAAAGACCAGGAAGTAAATATTTCAGGCTTTGCAGGCCACGTGATCTCTGTTGCACCTCCTGGACTCTACAGTTTTCAGGCAAATGCAGCCACAGAAATCATGTAAATATATAGACATGCCTGTGTTCCAATAAAACATTATTTATGGACACTGAAATTTGAATTTCACATTCTTGTCACGTCATGAACTGTTCTTCTTCCTTTGATTTTTCCCCCATTCATTTAAAAATGTAAACATTCTTCTTGTCTTATGGGCCACACAAAACAGGCAGCCAGATGGATTTGGTCTTCAGGTCATCTTTACCAGCCTCTACGTCACAGCATCACTGACATGGGTCATCTGACGTCATCATAAACACCTCTGTTGATGGGGAGTTGATTACACACAAGTCAGCAAATTCCCAATGCTTCATTTGCATTTATCAGAAATGTAGTAGAACCATATTATGTGTGTTATTTTTTATCAAACAAAAGACAAAGAAGGCCCCCAATAATATTTTTGCAGTGACATGATTATTATTACTTTTTTCTAAACCAGCTCTTATAGGCAATATTATCTTCCAAACCACTGTGTATAATTTTCGATTATCTGCACTGCAATTGTAATATATATTTTGACTACTACCTTCGTCAAATAATACTGCATCATAGTGTTTCGTATATAAAGCATGTAGTTTTATAACTAGAATTTCAGATGTCACGCATAAAGAAACCTCATTTGAGTGATTATTCCATGTCATTCTTGGCTTTTACGAAATTTTAGACATGTAGGTTGCTTTCACTTGTTTCACTGACGATTGCCCTTGTGCATATTGTTAAATTTCCAACACTTATATTCATTCCTTTGGGAAGAATTCCAGAAGTGGAATTACTAATTCTGAGTATATAATCATCATAATCTTTGTTGAATTTACTAAAATATTATGGTCCCTGTATAAGTGGGGACAATATACATTAAGTCCTTTATGTGGGACAGGCAATGCGCTAAACACTTTAAATACATTATTACATCGAAACCCCACAATAGTTATGTAAAAATATAGGTCATTATCCCTGCTTGTAGAGGTAGAAACATGACTGACATTAACAGTTCAAATTAGAACTTAGGTCTATCTGACTCCAAAGCCTGTCGGGAGGCATTTTATCACCTCTTACCATTTATAAATTTGCAATGCTAATACACCCGTAAGGTAGAATGCTACTTTAATTTTTTTTCCTTCTCTCTCTTTATCAGGTGAAATTCAACTTAAGTTTTAAGTCTTATTTTAACATTAAATCTGCCACAAATTATTCCTCAAACCCAACAAGGCAGAATCTACTGGTCATTCCTCTGTGCTCCCACCTATTAGAAGTAAAGGCTTATTCCAGTGTATTATTTTTAGCATCTTGAGGAAGGTACTGTGGTACATTTATGCTGTGTCCCCCTGAGGTATCACAAAGCTTTGTACAAAGTCAGAGACCAATGCATGTCCACCCAGTATTACTACAGTGGGTCAAGATCTGCTTCTGGAAGCTTCGTTTCATTGGCGTACATTCTTTATCTCTGCTATAAGTCCAGTAAATCAAATACTTTGGTCTTGTCCTTATTTTATCATCTTTGTTCTCTTTTCTGGTATTTATCTCACCTCTCACCACCCTACTGCCCTGAAAATATCATTTTTGTGTACTTAGCCTCCCTCAGAATGTGTTCCTGGCTCAACTCTCTCACCAGCAGATAGCATGAGGCTGACCAAGGCCTCCATCCTCACATATTAGACTCTGTCTACTTAGGAAAACTAGAGACTGAAAATGAGATCAGGGCCACTCTTGTAGAAATTAGAAACCTTAGCAAACCACAAATGGCACAGATTTTAACTGGCAGATTATTTCTTATTAAAACATTTTAAAATAGTTCTAGTTGTAAGTTGACTCAGATCTGGAAAGGTATGTGATAAAGCTATTTTCATTGGGGGTTCTAAGTCTAAACATGTGGCTCTGTGGAGAATTAATCTGCTCTGCTGTCATTGTCTTAGCATCATTATCATCATGATTATCACATTGTTGTAGTTTCCAGTCACCTCTTAGGCACTAATTGAACAGTAAGGTTGCATCACCGCTGTTGGTGCTGCTTAGGTAGTATTTTCACCTCTTTACACATTGTGGATCATTTTCTTACTGACTTTCTCTGGCCTCTATATTCTACACATCTTGGATAGGATGTGATTTGTAAAAAGGAATATACAAATTATGCCCCCAAAATGTAGAAATTTAACAATCTGATGTTATATAAAAACTGTTGATAATTCAACTTTGTCCTAGAAAAATTATATTCAAGTTATAGTCTCATTACCCTGAAATTTTTTATTGAGTTTTGTCATAAATATAAACAGTGTACAAGTCATGGTATATATCCAGCTGTATTTCAACCATGAATATGTTCTTCAAATTCTAGAAATCTCTATGCGTAAATATCAATAATTTTTATATGAGGTGTTTATTACAATTCTGAAATTAAAATATATTGTGTCTGAAACTTCATGGTTTGTTAATCATGTATGTATTATGTGGGGAAGATATTTGTATAAAATACTATTCATTTGCTTCAATTAGTATAGAATAAAAACATTTATAGAATTGCGTTTTAAATTTAGAATATAACCTTAGAGAATGTTATTTTTATTTGGCATAGGTTTTTTTCATATATTAGACAATTTGTAATTGGATAAGACAATCTTCAGTTGAATAAAATACTATAGCTGTATTCTTTACCACATATAGGAATCAACTCTTACTTAATAACAGGAAGCTGTATGTTTGCTAATGAGAAGATTACATAATGCAATTTAAGTTTATGTTCTGCTTACCTTTATGCTGAACAAAACTGTTTGAATTTACAAAAAAATCAGAGGAAAAATTGCTCTGCTAATAAGCCCAGTAAAGATGATGAATAATGAATGTTGGAATGTTATTATAGAATAAAGCCACAAGCTATGATATATCTTGCTGCTAAATTATTTTAAATGCTGTCTGATAATTATATACTTGTTTTAAGTCTACATCTGTACATGTTAAAATTGAAATCAGAGTTTCTAATCAATACTAATTTTTCCTTCTTGGTTGGGTGGGAGGAGAATGTTCATGATAGAGAATATGTTTTACAGTTAGAATGTTAAAAGAAAATCATATTTAAATTAATAGATGTTTGTTTAGGGCAAGTGTTACTCCAGGGCAGGGATTACTGAGGAAATTTTAGAAAAACATTGAAGTAAGACTATGATGATTAATGGAATTATTACCCTGATGTATTCTGTGGAAAGAATTAAGGGGGAAAATACATTTTATCATTAAGGAAACAAAATATGAATTGCATATTTAACACTTCATTAAATATGTAGATTGCTGTGAAATCTGGTGAGAAAGTTAAGGATAGTGAGATGCCATAAAGCCATCATCCAACACACGTTCATTTGTTCTATCCATGATAAAGTGAGAAAAATTAGAAAAGAGCCGGAGAGCCAGAGTTAGACAGACATGAAAAATGGGACATTGGAAACAAAAGCAAATCGCTGGGGATACGTATTTCCAAAGGTAAACTAGGGACCATTGTAACCACTCTGAAATACAAAATATCATTTCTGTAAACTGTGAAATACTGTAAGCTGCATTTAATAGTGAAAATTATGTTAAATATTATAGCAATGCCAAATGAAGTGATTGGCCACTGCTTGTTTCTTGCATTTTTGATCCAAGTGCACATTTCTTATTGTTGTCTTCCCATTCAGATTCACAAGTGGTCAGACAACCTCTATCTCAGATATATTACGTAAACTTCCAATCATACGCATGTCTTTGGTGGTTTTGATTTGAATTCATGATTCTACAGTCTCTGTTCCCCAGGATTATTTAACTTATTAAAATGATACTTGTAAATCTATTTTTAATATTTGTGAAAGTCAAAACTCTCCTTTGTAATTTGCATATTTAACTCTTTTTTCAAATACAATGTAATACTAACGGAGCAGCTATTAGGTGCTTGACACTGTGGTTAATAATTTTACATGTATTTTTTTAAATATTAATAATAAATCTGTTTGGGGTACATATTTTATGATTAAAAAATTACAAACCAGAGAAGTTAAGTAACTTCCCTTGAGTTTTATACCTACTGCTCACAGTTCTATAAAGCTTACTCTGTACTTAATTCTACTATTAGTGAAAAGACATTCAGTTTTTGTAAAATGATTTATTGGAGGGTTTGAGGATCCACTCAGTGATAAATACCCTGAGGCTCTATGCAAACCCTATTTTGAGAAAGAACACAATTTAAAGATTCTCTTCTAAGTGCCTAACAGCAACGTTGTATTTTGGAAGTTATAAGTGAATTTATTCAATTATTTCTTCTCTAGTTGTTGTTATCCAATTGCTGCATGAGTTTTAACCAACTGAGTGACTGATTTTAAAATTTTCAGTTTTCAGGTTGGCTTGCATATAAACTAAATCTAAGAGATTGCTTGAGAAACTGAATGCCAATGGCCTAAATGCCCTTAGCTGGTATAGTTGTGATGCTCAGTGCTAATTTTACTGTAATAGATATAGAAATAGAAATAAAAATAGTTTTAACCATTATATTTTGGTTAACTCATTAACCAATTGGCTTTTCTTTTCTTATGGAATTGTGGTATCTGATAGCAATGTAAGCAAATATAATTTTTCAAAAGGGGAACCAGAATTTATGTAGATGCATAGATAGCCCCATAATCACCACTTCTCACAATCACAATCTTCTTGCCTGAGAAAAACTGTTGTTTTAATGGAGAACATAAAGTTTCATTAAGATACAGATTTTTTTTCAGCTGATTCTTCTTTATTTCTGTAAAATTCAGTAGTCTAGAAAAACTTTATCTTGGAAAACATGTAGTAAACTTGATTGACCATATTAGCTTTGCTCCACCATTAGGCCATTATACCGAAACTCTTAGCTGTCAGATTCAATTCAGACTTTAATTAAATTGCCTTGTGGTCTGACCTGAAAGAGTGAATGTCACAGGACTTCTCAGGAATTAACATGATGGTTATTGCAGAAGTAGATAGAAGGAATGGAAAATCACTTAAAACTAGTTAGTGTGAAAGCCCTATTTTGGGTATTTCCCATGTTTTGCAAGCATCAGCTCTTTCTGACCTTTAGCCTTCCAAAAATCACTCTAACCATTTTATCTCCCTTTTGCATGCATATCTTTGCCAAATGCCCCTCCTTCCATATTCAGTATTCAGTCATTTTCTTGTGAATTCTAGAACAACCAAAAATAGTTCTTGTATGTCTACTAAGTGCTTTAACTCCTATGCTGGACACTGTACAGATCATCGTGAGCAAAACAGGCATTGCATCCACCCTCAAGAAGCTTATATTCCACCATGGGAGACAGATGTTCATCAACACAGTCTTTGCATATGTCATAACAAGTTACTATAAGTGCTACAAAAATGTATGTGCAATATGCAAATACATTGGAGGGTACTAGGAAAATATGTAACAGAGGATCTTATCCAGGCTTTTCTAGGAAATTGACATTTGAGTTGAGATCTAAATGAGGCACTGGAATTCACTGGGCGAAGTTGGGGGATGGTGGAGGATTGAGTGCTGGTGGTCCCAAACTGGGGAACAATATAGACAAGACCTACAAAAGGAAGAGGCAAGGCTTTCAGAAACTGAAGGATGGGTTTTGGGGCTAGATCAGTGAAGCAGAGTGGGGGTGTGAAGGGAGCTAGAGAGATGAACAGCAGCAGTTCCCAGAGGCCCTGCAAGTCATTCTAAGGCCTCAAATCTGAGCTCATTAGAAAATTCTATGTGCAACCAGCCTTATTAGGGTCATTTAATGACTTCTTAGTTTATTCCTCTTGAAATAATTTAAGGATACCTAGTTGTAATGTGTTTTTAAGTAGGAATGCTCTTTCTTGTGAAGTCATTTTCTGTTTTAGAATTTCTGCCAATTAGGTCATAGCTATTTTTCCTTTGGTTTTTCTTTGTTTCATTCTTTCTATTACTTTCTTCCACCTTTTCTGCTTTTGAAAATAATTTTCATGTCTATTCACAGTCTTCATCTCTCCCCTCTGTGATTATGGCACTTCAACGTGTCACGGTCCTTTTCTCCACGTTTTCTTGCTATACCCGTCTCATCTTCCAGTTCTTTCTTCTTGGCTGGAATTAAGTCCTGAGTAATCATTTTTCTCATTGCTTTCTTTACTTTCTGGATGATGGAATCATCAGTGAGGCACATCAGGAACATATCAGATGATGGGCTCTCAGCTGAATCACACTTTGAGCAGATGCACAGGTAACTGAAGCTTCCCATCCCTGAAGTGCCTTCCCTGTATGCCATTTTTAAATATTTTACAGAAAAGATGGACCCACAGTTTTCCTTCATGAGATTGGTTAGTATTCTATTCCTGTAATAACACTTTTCATTTTTCTTTTGTTTTGTTCTTAACCAATTGCTTTCTGTTGTGTTTTCTTTTAAAACACTTTTAGGTTTAACTTTATTATTTAATACATGTTCAATCTCTAGAACACTACAACTAATGATTCTAAGTAATAGAACAATTAAGCACAGTGTAACAAAACCATAATTTGTAAATATTTAATATTTTTAAGAAGCATTTCCAAGTTGATGAAAAACTGTATACATAATAAACAGGCAAATACTAGTTAGTTTCAAGTTCTATCAAGTTCATAGTCAGCAATTTCAGTTTTGTGGGGTTCTTCAAAATGTTTTGTTAAATCCACAACATTGTTTACTATGGCAAGGAAAAGGACTGGAAAATTTGCCCCCTGCTTGTTGAACTCTCTACATTCTTATGATACCACTTGACATTACTTAGTTGTGGGTTATTTAAGATAATCAGTTATTTGTTCAGTGAGACAACATTGCTCTGTAAGAGGGTCCTGTAAGACTGGGAGGGGAGCTCAGTGATCAGATATTCAATCAGATCTTCTTGCATTTCCCTTAGTAACATGATACTCTGGGCCAGGCTCATTCCTGTAATCCCAGCACTTTAGGAAGCTAAGGCAGGTGGATCACCTGAGGTCAGGAGTTTGAGACCAGCCTGGTCAACATAGTGAAACCCCATCTCTACAAAAAATACAAAAATTAGCCAGGTGTGTGTGGTGGCACATGCCTGTAGTCCCAGCTACTTTGGAGGCTGAGGCAGGAGAATAGCTTGAACCCAGGAGGTGGAGGTTGCAGTGAGCTAAGATCTTGCCACTGCACTCTAGCCTGGGCAGCAGAGTGAGACTCCATCTCAAAAAAAAAAAATGATGCTATCATCATCATCATTTTCATTTTTAAATATTTCCCCAAACATAAAATATCCTGTTTTAACTACTTTTAATATATCTTGTAACTTTTTTAAACCTAGAAATTTGAAACTAATGGTAAGTCACTCTATTATCAAAGCAGTAATCTAAAATTATCCAGGAAAATAATCTTTTTTCTGAGATCTGGCACATAATAATTTGCTGATCTACCAAAGACGTATGGATTTTACCGAAATAATAGTTTTCATGAGGTTAGGAGTTTTATTTTGTTATCCTTTTTGCAAAATAGTACCTTTCTTTTTCACAGAGAATTTCTTCTCCCATTAATATCACGGTAGATAACTCAGTTGATGGTGACTGTCATAATGCTCTTTAAGTTCTAAGGGCACTCTAAGCGTCATCTTGGCTCTGACACTGCCAAGTATGACTTGGATTTTCTTTGCTTGGAAAGTTCTTGCATGGTGCTCTCTCACCACATATTCCCATCCCCTGAAATTGCATGTTTTCATTTTCTTAGCAACTTTTTCTTTATTGGTACTCATCTTATAGGTCTTCCCATTTGTTGGGTTTGATGTTTGGCTCAATATTGTCACTAAAGCAACACCACCAGCGATTTTCCAGGCCAAAGTATTACATTAAACAAATGGTTCCATAGAATACACTCTCATGGTGCTGTAGTTGCTTTCATTGCTAAGTCTGGTTCCTGGAGCACCAGGCATTAGACCTTAACCATGCCATCTCAACACAGATTTGGACCACACGCAGCTCCGAAGTGTACACACAGACACAGTGCTTCTTTTATACTACCATTGACTAACTTAACACGAGTTCCCAGAGATAAGCACATCATATACAAGAGATAAATGGAGTTTGTGGATAATCTTTTTTAGTTCACCACAGTGTATGAAACAGATACATTATACATCTGCCTGCAGGGAGCATGTGCTGATGTAGGAAGACACACACTGAACAAGTAACTGCAAGTTATTGAGTGTATACAAGGAGAGGTTGCGTGAGGATATGTGAATTCAGGAGGAAGGAACCTCACCTGTTGATGAACTTAACTTTTCTTCAGAGGAAGAGATATTTTAAAGAGACATGAGAGAAATTCCAGCTAACCAGATAAAAGGACTAGGGATTGAGAGGCAGAGACAATAGTATGGGTGAGTTCAAAAAACCAGAATGTGGTATTCTACACAAGCTGGAGATTTTAAATTCACAATTTTTGCATGTATTTTGCATAGTAACATAAGACTTCTTGTTGTAAGCATTTCTTTGGCTTTCACCCCTGGGATACTATTTGTGCCTAGGATTTTTGAGAAGGTAGCAAAACATTTCTATAATGCCTCAACTCTCTATAGTGAGTACATTACCTAACTGGAGTGAGATAGTCCACAGATGATGCAACCTTTGCAAGCTGGAAAGCACTTTCCTCTTATTTTATCATGGAAATTAGGTATTTCATTGTGACAGTTACATGAGGCATTATGTTGAGCTGTCGCTAGGAGCAGTTAGTATTATCTTTTTGGGCTTTAAAAGCACAGAAAACAGTTGGGGGAAAGTGGAGCTATTTTGGAATAGCACAAACAATCTGGGTTGGTCATTGATTTTCTTATGAATCTCATTTGACTGTTCCAGATAAATACAAAATATTTGGAGAATAAAAGAGTACAGATTCATACGTATCACTGAAAACTGTTCATCTTAAAGTTCGTGTTCTTTGTTGTCATCATTTTCTTGTAATGCTGGCAGAATCCAGATGCTCAGGTCAAATAAGACCATAAGTGAGAAATAAACTGTGGTGACATTTGAGTTGACAGACATAATTCTGACACGTAGAAATTATTGGGAAGAAAAACAAAAATCGAAACTCACAAATGAGAGCTTAAAATGAGGTTATGCTGTCTACTTCAGAATTATTTTATCACACACCCAGTACTTTTATGCCAAATATGCCTGGGTTTATGCAATTTAAGGACACAAGAGAGAAAGATAAGTTCTTCGAGGCTTTCCAGGAGCCAAAGTCTGGCAATTGTAGGTGCATCTCTTTCAGACTGAACACATATTAGAGATCAGTTTTAATGACACTTTTTGGAAGGATTTACTCAAATAAGTGATTCTCCCTAAAATACGAGACTAGCTTTTGATCGTTGTTTTTTTTTTTTTTTCATTTAAATTTTTTTTTCATTTTTAATTTTTTTTTGTAGGGATGGGGGTCTCGTTATGTTGCCCGGTCTGGTCTTGAACTCTTGGCCTCACGTGATCCTCCCGCCTGAGCCTCCCAAAGTGCTGGGGTTACAGGCAGAACAAACTGTGCCCTGCTTAGGTTTTAATTCTTAATGGTCATCAGGATTATTCGGATAGAGCTTCCGATTCCCTCATACTTTCCTATAAATCAACAAGGCAGAGAAGCCCTAAAATTTGCCTTGCTGCTCTACATTAAACTGGCTTCAGATATTGCCGGTGTTCTCCCAGTCTGCAGGGTCCCTAGAAATCCACATTCAATGGTTTTAAATTTTGCAAATGTTGCCTATGGGAGGGTGGCTCTGATTCCCACTATCACCAGTCCCATTTAAGGATTTTTGGTTTTATAATTTGCATCATTTGGATCTGTTTATGTTTGGCAGAAATAAAATGTATGACTTTGAACAAATAAAAGCTTAGCCACTAGAATATTAACTTCAATATCTACATAAATATTTTTCTTCAAAGTAGTTACTTTGGAAAATGACTTTTAATGTTTCTGGAATTCTGCCTTTTAGAAGTGGTGCCAGAGTCAGCTCACAAGCTGCACAGTGAAAACACTGTCACTGCTTTATAGTCGAAACTTATTTTCCCTATAAATCCAAACAGTGTGCCATTCAACTGGAACACCAAACTATTCAGTACCTATGGCACCAAATTATTTTTGTTTCTATATGTTTCTTCTTAAAATCGATCATTCTGAAGTATCAAAATGTCTCATAGCTTAAGTATTTATAAACAACAGACTTTAAGAACAATTTCAAAAAAGTTCCCCAAATTGTTTTAATAACCTCAGATTCTTTACTTGCATAAACATAGCTGGCAAAGTGACTCCTTGAAAAAGACAACACTCATTTAAGTGTTAAGCTATGTTACTTATGTTAAACTTATTAATGAATAAACCTAAGGTCACACAATCATATGTCTTAAAGGCAATGGTTGCAACTTCTTTTCTCACTTACCTTAGTACGAAAATAGCATACATTTTTTAATGTCTGCCCTGTATCATGCACTTTGCTAAAGATTTTACATAACCATGTTTATTTGTCTCTAAGTTTTTATTGGTAGTCATTTTGCTAAAAATAATGTGGCTAGTCTTGAAGAGATGTTGCATAGAAAGATCATTGTACAAACTCAGCTTAACTTGGCTTCAAAGCGTATTTTTCCTTCTAATATTTGATGGTAATGCTGAGAGATTTTACTCCTCTCTCTTTCCTTCCTTGCATCCATCCTATCCTAACGACAATAGTGACATCTGAGGATGGGCTATCAGCTTTCAGCATTTGCAAACCATTTCTTCTGAAACTCTTAGTACCCAGTGTTTTCAAAGCACCATAATGTTAACTTTCTCTTTTAGCTTTTGTTTTGCTCTTTTGATTGCATTGACTTTAAAAATAGTTTTATTGTTATTAAAGAAATTATTAAGCATATTTTTAGAATCCTATTCAACTCAGAAAGTGGAAGGATAAGGCTAGGGAGGAAGGAGGCAAAGGAAAATTATACTGGTTTCAATTTTGAAGACTTGCCTTCCTGAAACAGTTACTGTTAAAATGTTAGTACTTACTTTTAATATTTGCCTCTCTACGTCTATGTGTATACACATACACACACACACACACACACACACACACACACACACACACATATATATATATATATATATATATATATATATATTATTTGGAGTCTTGCTTTGTCATCCGGGCTGGAGTGCAGTGGTGCGATCTCAGCACACTGCAACCTGCATCTCCCAGGTTCAAGCTATTCTCCTGCCTCAGCTTCCTGAGTAGCTGGGACTACAGGCATATGCCACCATGCCTGGCTAATTTTTGTGTTTTTAGTGGAGATGACGTTTCACCCTGTTGGCCAGGCTGGTCTCAAACTCCTGACCTCAAGTGATCTTCACACCTCAGCCTCCCAAAGTGCTAGTATTATAGGCATGAGACACTGTTCTCAGCCTCTATATTCTTAAATAATATTCATGAATAGGCATATCTTTTAGATGTTATCTATTGATTTCTATTATGGAAGGTGAATATTTTAAGTTTTCTACCCTCGCACTTTTCTTTCTTCATGTGACTTTTCATTTTCATTTGAGGCATAATTAATATACAATAAAATGCACACATCTCAAGTGTTGAGTTCACTGAATTTTGACAATTTTATATACATCTGTAAATATCATCCAAAATAAGACATAGGGCATTTTTATTCCTCTAGAAAGTTCTCCCATGGTCCTATACATAAGTTTATTATTCCCCTCTCCCTCATATACACATACACCATTGTCTGATTTCTAACACCATTGCATAGTTTTATCCGTATTTAGATTTCATATAAATGGGAATGAACATTATTTCCTCTTTTTTTCTGGCTTTTTTCTTTACACTAAAAGGTTTGAGGTTCATCCATGGTTGTGTGTGTACCAATACTTCATTCTTATTTTTTTGCTGAGTAGTATTCAATTACATAGGCAAGTCCTAATGTATTTATCTACTATCTACTATTTTGTTGATTAATATATGAACGCTTTCTAATTTTTGACTATTATTAATAAAAGCTGCTATGAACATTCACAGACAGATCTTTGTTAGCACTTATGTTTTCATTTCTTTTGGGTAAAAATGTAGGAATAGAATTGCTAGGCCATATAAAAAACAGATGTATAACTTTATAAACATCTAAACCCTAGAGTAGTTCTACAACATAACTAAAATAAAATACCATTTTACAATTCTTCCAGAAATGGATGAGAAGCCTATTCATCTTCATCAATATTTAGTGTTGGATTTTAACCACTAGTCTTAAATTTCTTTATGTGTTTCTTGTGTTACCTGTTTCCCTAGGTTCCTTTTTACTTTTTGCTTGTCTATTTTTCTTGTAGGAAGCGTTCCTCAGATTCTAGCAATTGCAGACTACCCATTCATATTTAAAAGTGAAGCACTAAAAATATAATTGAAAATTGTGTTAGTAGGCAACATTACTAAATGAGGTTTCACTTTAGAACAACCAGGTGACCATCTGGCTTTTGAGGATGGTCTCCTAAAGAGCAGCTTTTTAAAGTCTTTACTCTGGGGTGGCTCAGATTTCCCAGAGAAAAAAACACATCCTCTTATCTTTCACTTTGGATCTATAAATGTGGTTCCCAGGTTATAGAGCCCGGTGGATAAAGAGGTATAGGATTTCTGTTCTGTATACAGATTTTATTTTTCTTTTTGTTTGCCGTCTCAAAACTCTGTCTTCCTTTTCTGTGGATTTGTTGTCTCCAAGTCTAGGGATTTTAAGGTTAAGTTCTCCCCATGTGATACCTATTCTCTCCTGTCCAGGTAGAGAAAACCCACTAAGTTGACGTATGTGGTGGAGATGGGAATAGAGAGAGCAGGGTGTGCCTAACACAAAATTCCGAACAATTGTCTTGTTTTCAACCCCTGACTTACTCTGGTCTTCTGTATTATCAGGCTGTCCTGGGATCTGTAGGGTGGGTCCTTTGCTTCCCAACCATGTCTTACCTTAGTGTCCTTAGGTTTGTGCTTTTTCAGCTCTGCTGAAAAACATTCTCTACCTGTCTTCTCTTCACATTCCATAATCCTTGATTATGTGTGTTTTCTACTTTCCTGAAATGTATTGTTTTTTTCTCGATTTCTGTGTTTTGGGGGCTTAATGTGTTTCCAAGTTTTAATTGTACACGGGATGTTCAGATTACACTGTACTTGAGGCTTGAGGGCGATCGAATTAGAGAAAAACTGTATTTGCTGATGAACAGCAAATGTAGTGTTTCTGAAGAGTTAAGCCTAATGGGGCCATTTAGTTCATTTTCAAGAATGCTTAAAAGGCTGCGTTAGAAAATAACACAAAGGAACTTCAGAACCTCAGAATAGGGATGGCACCCAGACTCTCTTCATCATGAGGGTTTTGAGGGTAAAAGTTCAAACAAAAGATACATTCACCTTTTAAAATGTAAATGAACTGCAATATCAGCATAATTTTCTTGTACTATCTTTGAAAAAAATACAAGCACATTCACAGTTTTTCTTTATTCTCTCAAGAAGGGCTTTGAAAACCCATAATTATAGAATTTATTAAGGAAAAATAACTAATAAATACTTCTGGAGAAGAATATTCAAAAGCCTAAGGATTGCTAGACAAAATATCTCATTTTTAGATCAAATCTTGGAAAGATGCAAAAGTTGTTACCGACAAAGATAAGTTATAAATTAAGCATATTGGAAACAAGAGGAAGGATAAAACCTGACAAATTATTGATGTTGCAGGAGGTAACCAAGGAAGGCTGTGCTCAAATGGCACTTTGATGACCTGGCTTTGTGTGTGATGGTTGATGTGCGGGATCACAGGAAAAATTTCCCGCATATATCAGTAAACATATATAATCAAGAACCTATGACATGCCCATCACTGTGTAGGCTATAAAGAAATATGAGCACACTCATGATTTCAAACAAGGTTACTTTGGTAGAAAAGACAGTCAAATAAAGAGATGACATAAGGGAATAGATTCTGAGTGCCAACCAAGTGATACAGACAGTAAGTGTCACCTTAACTCAGAAGAGACAGAGAAAATCATAGGTAGGTAGAGAATTGAGTCAGCACAGCAAAGGCCGAATTTGTCTTGGTCTTAAAAATAAATCGGTGCAAATCAAAATGGATGATTTAAATTTTACAGCCTATAATGGCACTTGGCAAACATGGTATCATTGTCTCTAAGTGATTTTTTTTTTTTTTTTTTTTTTTTTTTTTTTAGCTATATTACCCTTTGGCTAAGGCTAAGACAGATTCTTGCAGTTCATTATTGTTTAGCAGATAGCAAGCTTTTTAGACACTTTTATAGTGAAAGTGTGTCTTCTCGCTTTATTTATATACTTATAGAATCATCTTTGAAGGCATAATCACCAACTGCCAAATTTGAGGACCTTGGCAGATGGAGACAGATTTCCCAGGGAAAATTTGAAATGGCGGGGAGTCTAACCAGTGATGTGCTGATAAGAAAAACATCCCTGATTTGGAGAATTTGCCAGTTTCTGTGATACAAATAGTCTCACCCTTGCCAATTTCAAGCTACTAACTTGGGGTTATTGAATCCTGACTTGGAAAGAGTTGAGCATGATGAGTCGACCTGAGCTGCTGTAGGCTTGCTCCAGCACACTGCGGAAGCTATCAGACATTCACATTTCATCTAGAAAGACATGGGGAGGGATGCTGATCCACGCTTAAGTCCTTCCCCTTTCCATTCTGATCCTCACTTGGTCTTCCAACCATTGTTCTTTTTCAGATATATGGCTCTTGTGACAAGATTATAAAGGTCAAAGATGCTTTATCCCAATATGTATCTTATTCATTTAGGCTGTCAAATATAATTTAGTTTGTTATCCATAGCAGCAGTGCCTCATTGCTTGAGCAGGCATGCGGCAGTGATGTGAAGAGCAGGAGAGAGTGGTGTCAGGACCTGAAAGGGTGTGCACCTGTGGAGTAGCTGTTTATTAGGACTTGTTCCTGATGCAAGCATGTCAGGCCAGGGTTCATCTTCCAAAAATAGGGGTAGCAATTCCAGAGTCCTCCACTGATTTATGGAGAAGGACCCATCATTCTGTAACTCTGAAAGCTATGCCAAGAACAGGTTATTCATGTGAGACTTCATTTCCTTTAATGGATCTGGGACAAAACTTGTAGTCATGTTTACAAGCCATGAGTGCCTGCACCACTGTGGTGGCATCCCAATACTAGGATATTTACCTAGAGCTATATGAAGCAGAATCATCAAACCATAAGTAAGAATCTTGTTAGAGTTTGTTTAGCCACAGGCCTACTATTAGGGAAGTACTAACTCCCTTCATCTAAATTTCTACATACTCTAATAGTCTTCTTAGTTATCACATGGCATTGACCATTTTCTTGTTGTCTGTATTAGCTCCTGCTGCAACGGCAGTTATGAAATCTGACTGAGTTTGTGCCAAGGCACAGCTGTTCTCACTGGTCTTGCAGATGCCCAGCAAGTTGCTGGGAATACCCAGATGAAGCCTAAAGCTGCTCCAGATATAAAACTGTCCACACTAGTACAACTTAAATGTAGTACAAATGCTGTAAGTTTGCAATATCCCTCAGAGATTTTAATGGAAAATCCAAGTACTGTTTTAGTTTTTTTCCTTTTCTTTTGCTGATAACCCCTTTTACAAGATTTAAAGATGAGTCCACAGGGTTGGACTGAGTTCAGTGGTAACACATTCTCTACCCCTTTGCCCTGAGATACTTTCCTAGAATCACACATGTGTGTTTTATTCCTTTCTTGGGAGTATTCTGGTTTTGATCCCTTAACCTATTCACCAAGGGAGCTCTAAATAATATCATCCACCACTTTCATGGGCCACTCACATTTCATAAAGATTGCAAAAGAGATAAAACAGAAAACTATTAGTGGTACATTAGCTACAACTCCTTTCTCTTCCTTTTCACTGAACACAGTGAACAGAAAGACTCATTGGCTTGAGAGCCACTGTGCTGAAAGGCTTGTTTATGAGTTCCCAACATCTTCAAATAGGAAACCACTCAAGAGAAGTCCAGATAAAAGTCAAGGGTTAGTTAAAGCCAGGAGATACAACAATAATGCCAGCTATGAAAAGCTGAGCCAGGTCATACAAAGAAGAATAAAATTCAGAGTTTAGATGTTGGAATTAAGAATGCATGTCAGTTAGGCTGGAAAAATAGTTGAGAGGAGAGACCATGAATTTTATTGGAGAGCAAGAGACTATTTTTATGGAGTACCAGCTAGGTTAATGGAGTCAGATGGGGTGGGATATGTGAACTGTCTAGAATTATTTACTTTCAGCCAGTCATACTCATGACTGCAAAAAGGACAAGTTGAGGCTGTGCCTCTCTTTAGAATGTCTGCATTTTAAATATCTATTTACAGCAAATGATATGTTGCTGTACTGCAGGTTTATTAGAACACTAGCATATGTGTTGACAAGGCAAAGGTATGTTAAATATCTTTCTGGAGAGTCAATCCTGATAAAGCAGGACATGCACTTAATTATAGTCATTTAACAGTGGCTTTTCTACTTTAATTATAGTTTTATATAATCTATGCATGACAAGTCTGAATAATAATAAAGGAGGAATTATAAGCTGAATATGGAGAAGGTTTTGGACCCTGCCTGCTTCTGAACTACACTCTCAATCTGGATTATATATAAGCATATATAAATAACATACACTCCTCTCAAGAATGCTGCATTACTAGAGCCTTACACTGTTCTTAAATATGAAGGAGATTTGTTTTCAGGTTATTGGAGATACAGAGATTCACAGAACTGCCTTGAGGGACACATTTTTTATGTACAAATATAGCTTTTACCTAGCCAGTTGGTAGGTCAAAACCCAATGGCCCAGGGAAATGGTTTATCTCTTAGCTCAGAATTTGACTCTGTGGTGGGTAGACTATAGTTAAAAGAAATGATTTTTTTGACATTGGTCAGAAAGTTATTTCCTTATAGTGACTTATTTTGTCCATTCACTTGTACCTAGAGGTTTTAAAAGACAGACACATTAAACCTGTGGCTAGAGGTGGGGCTTACAGAAGCAAGAGTGACAGTCTTCACCATCAAATGCAGTTGACGTTTGCAAATGACAGGAGACAAACTGGAAATTGTATTCCCTCAATTCCTAGCAGCTGATTCCGACTCATTCATACCAATATTGTAACTGTTGTCACTCTTCAGAGTCCCTCTGGGACATTAGTACTAGGTTGTCAGTTGTCCTGTAGTTAGGCATCTATGACGTGAACACCAATAGGAACCTATAATTGCTAGAAACTCTTATTCATTTGTTTTAGTGTGTTGAAATCCATTATATTTGTAATGGATTTTCCAAGTCTCACTATTTGCCAGACACCCTCTCTGCACCCTTGCTTCTCAGCTTATTGGAACAGACTGACGGGAAAACTATGCCGCTCTCTTGGTTTCTAGGGTGGAATTTCAGGGGAGAATGATGGGAGAGGCCAGGTAATAAAAAAGCCTCCTTCCAGAGATGATATAACTTGGCAGCCTTAAGCTCAAGAGATGGAGGTGGGATCAGGATGAAATAAGAGCATGGGAAATCAGGATTCATCACACAAATAAATTTTCCATTAATGTTTGTGGATTAAGGATAATAAGGGAAAGAATGCCAGCAAAAAACATGTATATTTTATGCAGGAAAGGCAATAAAATTTGATATTTTGATTTTTACACTCCTTATCCCACATCTGAATATAATTGTCTAGGATTGCAGGAATTATTTTCTGCAAGTGTTGCTGGTAATTCTTCATCCAGTCTTCTTCCAGTGTGGGTACAGTTACGAATATTGCCACCTAGGGCTGACAGCTGCTTTCAACTGGACAAGGTTTTATGGTTTCTTTGTCTTTCCCCCAACCCACAAATGTTCTCAAACCTCTTGCATTTATTTATGTTATTTTACTTTGCATGAATGGGGGAAGAAACAGTGTTCAGCAATTCAATGATGGCTGAATGGAATAACAGAATTTCATTTCCTAAGGGAACATTTGAGAGTGATTGAATCACCCTCAATCTACAAGCCACATTTTTGCACTATTTTTCTACTTGACTAATTGATTATGACAGGTGTCACCCAAGCTTTGCAGCTTAGGCTGTCCCCATGCTAAGACAGAGCCATAGCAAGCAACTTCTATTGATGAAATAGAAAAGCTATGCATGGTTATTTTTCCTTATTGATTTTCTAGTATATGATGTCAGTTAATTACTGAGAGCCATTCACTGCATACATGTAAGTAGTCATTATAACCATATTTTCAATTGATTTTTTCCCTACAAACATAATCAGTTATTTGTTTGAGCTGAACAGAAATGTAAATATCTGCAGTTGTAAAAAAAAAATTGGATGTGTGTGTGTATGTGTGTATGTATTATATGGGTATATTCTTTATGGGCATGTGATTTTATCTATCTATCTATCTATATATATATACACACACACACACATACATGCATATATACACACACATACATACACACTAGATATAATCAATATTATATGCCCATCGGGAATATACTCCCTGTAACATATTTACAGGTGTGTTTGTGTGTTGTGAACAGAGAAAGAACAGCACATGTCATGGCCATGCTAACAATTTTGGTTACTATACCAAAAGGGAGATTTCTAAAGTATTGAGCTTTAAGTATATTGCATTTTTAGTTTCGCAAGACAATGAAAAAATTAGCCTATCTACCTTATGTGGAGGGAAAGAAGCCAGATACACCAAAAATTTATTTGTATAAGTCTACTTATATAAAATTCTAGGAGATGACAACTGAATATATAGTAACAGAAAGAAGATCACAGGTTGCTAGGAACTGGAGGTGGCAGGAGGGATGGACCACAAAGGGTTATGAGGAAACTTTAGGGTTGATAAGGTATCTTGTGTCTCTTGCTTGTGGTGGTGATTTTTTGGTTGATGTACCTGTCAGGATTCATCAAATTGTGTATGGGCACAGTTTGTTGAACAGAAATCATGTCCCAATAAAGTTGTTTTAAAAATGAGGAAATGTATGTCTCAGCATTTGAACACTATTTGGAGAATTACCACAAATTTTCCATGTTTCTAATAATATTAAATCATTTCTACATATGGCAGGAACTTCATATTTCTCAGAATATACTCTTGGAATGGAAGTGATTATATCCATGATATATATTGAATGTCCAGGCCCTAAAGGGCCATTCGGAAGACATTTGAGTTTTTTTCTAGTTGACTTGATAATTTCTACTTACCTAGGAAGAGGAGAGCAATAACTAACCTTTGAAAATTTCTCATATTGACCTACATGATAGACTGATATATTCATTTTCAATTAGTGTATAACAAATTACTACAAACTTAGCAACTTAACATAACACACATTTATTATTTCAAAATTTCCATGTGTCAGGAGTCCAAGCACAGCTTTGCTGAATTTGAGGTCTCCCCAGGCTCCAATCCAGGTATTGGCCAAGGTTGAGGTCTCATCAGAGGCTTGACTGGGGAATGATCCACTTCCAATCTCTCAGATTATTGGCAGAATTCTTCTGCATGTGGCCATAGGTCTGAGTTCCCCATGTCCTTGCTGACTGATACCTGATGACTATCCTCAGAACTTTGAGGCCACTCAGCGTTCCTGGCCATGTAGCCTCTCCATAGGAAGCTCACAACATGAAAGCTCACTTCTTTGGGATCAGCAGAAGCTCTTCTTTCAGTCTGCTATGACATAGCTTTGTAAAATGTTACTTAACTATGAAGGTAACCACCTTTGCCATGTAATGTAATCTAACCAAGAGAGTAACTGTTTTATAAATTTTGCTATATTGTATTGACTAGAAATCCAACTGTACCCAGTGGAAGTACAGTCATCTTAGATGGCTTGGGCCACTTTAGTGCATATCTACCTCAGTTGTTTTATAGAGGACCCTTGAAATAAGTAACTTTCTAATAATATATTTAATAAAGAAATATTTGAATAAATTTATATACATATACTTAATAATTTTAGCAGAATGTCATTCAATTTTAAATAAGCAAGAATAATATTACTATTTTTTTTTCAAGACAAGGTCTCACTCTGTCACCTAGGATGGAGTGCAGTGGCATGATCATGGCTCACTGCAGTTGCTGCCTCCTGGGCTCAAGCAGTCTTCCCACCTCAGCTTCCCCAGTAGCTGGGACTACTGGTGCATGCCACCATGCCCTGCTAACTGTTTTTTTTTTAAATTTTTGTTTTGTAGAGACAGGATGTTGCAATGTTACCCAGGGTGGTCTTAAACTCCTGGGCTCAAGTGATCAGTCCACCTCAGCCTCCCAAAGTGCTGAGATTACAAGCATGAGCCATTGTGCCCAGGGAGTAGTACTTTTAAAATCTGGTCTAATTTATACTGGTTTAATTTTTATAAAAACTCTCAGGACCCTACCTATTGTGTCGTCAGGGATGTCTCTACATGGTGCACCAGGCCATGAAGGAGTTAATGTGCCTCTCTAATGCTGTCAATTTCCATCTTCCTCGTCAGTAAAATAAGACCTATAATTTGCAAAATGAATCCACATTCTTGAACAGTGACTGCATTAAAAAACCTGAGTATTTTAATAATTAGCTATTCAAATTATCTTATGGTTGCCTACTATTCATAAAGTCAAAAACATAATATAAAATAACATAGATCATAATATTAGTTACAGATGTCAGCTTACTTCTATTTTTCTGAAGAAAAGGTGTTAATGAATTTCTCTAGAATGATTTCTGACATAATTGCCAGGATTGTACAATATATCATTCTACATTTATGCCAGCAAATTAGCATCTGTGATTCATACAGTGGTAGCTTTCTTAATTTTATCATGTACAAAATACATGTTGTTTTGATTTTTCAAAATAACTCATGGCTCTCTGCCTTGTAGACTGAAGAGAATTTACAATTTTGTCGTTGAATTGGTGAATATTTCAAACAATATGACAGACACTAACAATATACCCTTGGGTTTACAGCAGAATAAAGCTGCTACTCTGATAAGCTACCAAATACTGTAAATGCATCAATAATTTCAGCCTGAAAAATATTACTTTTTTAATTGATGCATTTTTCTCATGACAATTATACAATACTTAGCACGCAATATTCACTTTCTAATACCAGAAAGGCAGCTACAGATGGTGTCAATATAAATTGTTTGTAATATTCTCTGTGTTTGTACGTACTATATACACTATGATTACATCCAAGAGCTCAGGTTTGCAGACCTTTTCTGCCCTTGTATTTGTGACCTTGGGTGTACTTCTGCACTATCCAATGTCTCTCATAATGCAAAATTACAGTAATATCCACTTAATGTTCATAGGCTGCTTTGTACAATTACAGTTACACAGCGATCACTCAAAACACAGTGATAATACAATTCCTCATCAAAATAAACCATTACTGGCCAATGTTTGTGACTTTTTCCGGACTAAGCCACTCTCCTGGGGCTGGCAATTTATGGTGCAAAAAGCAGCAGAATGTGCTATTTATAATTATGCAGCTTTCTTCTGGGATCAGAAAATCACTGGACCTCATTCCTACCTTACTGAAAGAGGAAATGGTAATTTATGTTGTGTTATTTGTCTTTAAAATGAGGAAATAGGGTCAAAGGAAGGATAAAGTGTCCAATGTCATGCACTGGTAAAACTGGAATTAGTAGTTACCATCTCATGATCTGATTTCTAGTTGTTTGTTTGGTTGGATTTTTTTCTTTGTTGTTGTTGTTTGTTTTATCTTGAATACCTTTTTTGTTTAACAAAAACTTATTGTGCACCTGCTATGAGTCAGGCATTCTGTATGTGTTTTATAAATTTTAACTCAGTTGACTTTCAAGCTTAGGAGTTAGCTGCTGCTATTGTCACCCACATTTTATAGGTGAGGAAACCGAGACACTGAGAGGTGAGGCAGTTTGTATGAGGACACATAACTGGTATGTGGCAGAGGCAGTTTGGCTCTGGAATCTACACTTAACCACTGTTCTTTGCCACCTCTCCTTCTCCTGTGTGACTTGTCTTTATCCTCCAGGTCAGAAACGCATCACATAAGGCCTATTTCCTCCCACCATGATCACTAGTGCTTATACTCTGTTTACCATATTGAGTCAGTCACCAAGGAGGATACAAATAAAGAATGTGAGCTCCAAAAAGGCAGACGGTATTTATCTTGCTTACTGAATCCCCATTACCTGGAACAGTGCCTGATACATGAAAAATATTCAACAAAAATATTTTGCATGAATAAATGATCAGATGAATAGATAGATAAATGGACAGATGTATGAGATAGATATGTACCTTGTTTTAAGGGAGCTTTTAGTTTAAGAAGACAAACCATAATTCAGCTGAATAAAACATTTTATGATTTTTTATTCTTTTCATATCCTTCAAAGAGTGTTTCTATAAATAAAACTATTTCAGTCTTGGTGAAACAGATTTGCTCAGTTTTAAAATATATATTAGAAAAACATATGTTAAAACCCAAATTAAACAAGCTTTTATCTGCATGGCTCAGTGTCAACTCAGATTAATTTGGTAGAGGTGAAAATGAATTCTTTCGCAGAAATTATCTTGCCATATTTTAGGATGATGTTTCCGTATGGGTGGCATTTTTATGAGAGGAAATTGAGAGCAGAATAACGAATGGAGTTGGGAGAATATTGCAGGTGTCTTCATCTTAAATATGCCCCCAAATATAATAGAGTCTGCACAGAGATTACATGCTGGAGTTAGTAGAAAGGATTCGGTAGTTTGTTTTCATATCCTTATCATTTAAATAAAACATTGTCATGTTTATATTTTTTCACTGTAGGTCATTCAATTTCTCTCACACAGAGAAATATGCCGAAGTAGGGACACATTCAGGAAGGGAAACTAGTAATCAAGAGACAAAAAATTGATTTTTGTATAAAGACTAATATATGCTGAGGGAAAAAGAGAAGGAAAATGTCAGTGTGTGGTAATATAGGAGGTTTGAGTGATTGATTAAAGATTGGAAAGGGAAGCCCGACAAAGGGAATTTCATCAAAATATATAAAACCAAAAAAGACATGATAGGTGGCTATTGATTTATTCAATAAATTGTAGTATCCTTCACCCCAAGAATCTACTCAAACTTTAGAAGAGTTTGTTTTAGGATGAGTTATAAATAAATTCAGATAATAAACTCAGCGAGAAATTTAATGGCACAAGAAGTTCCTCAATAAGTCATTAAGATAAGTGATGAGAATTTCAGTACACATCCCTAAATTTTGCAGTTGGTGTCAGAGTCAGTCAAATGTTTATAAAGCATGAATCCTGGTTAAAAAAAATTATGTCAGAGAAAAATCTACCATACTCATTGATTATTGAGTTTATAACTAGAGCTTTCTTCATGATTATTATTGAGACAAATGATGATGAAAGTCCCTAGCGACCTCTGTTTCCTGTTTGTTAAAGGGCTAAAAAATAGTGAAATGATTTGAATATAGGGAATGGGAAAGTAAGAGAACCACTGTGTATGAGTGGGTATCCTCCAAAATAAATTGGGCTATGTTTCTGAGCCAATACGTATGAAACAAAGGGTGGACCAGAATATATGTAAAGTGAAATTTAAAATTATTTATCATAATCGTTAATAGTCAAAGATGGGGAAAATCCAGGAAGGCAAAAAAGTTGAAACTGCTAGCGAAATGGGTTTCCCAGATTAGCCAGAATCCTAAATTGCCGTAAAGGACACACTAAATTGTCTGGAAGTTCATCCTAGGTTTTAGTGATCTGTGATCATTTTACCCTGGACTAGCATGAGGAGCGAACTATGATGTGTAAGATTTTGGAAACACTATTTCAGCTGACTGGATTTTGTGGATTCTTTCAATGACACATTCCTTTCATCAGAGTCATTGGTATATACTCTTCAGTAATTTTTATGTTTTGTTTTGTAGCTTTCTTGTGGTACATTGTTCTACTGCTCACTTCTTGCCTCTCTCCTCTCCATGGTTGTGTGTTTACAAAAAAATGAAACTTCCCACCCGCAATTTTGAATTGTATTGTCCTGGTTATGATTACTTTTCATTTTCTTGTCATCCTTGATACTGTGACCAGTCTTTCTCAGGGAAGTACATTGAACACCAAGCTACCTGTGGTATGTCCATATGCTCATATGCTCTGAAACAAACCCTGTCCAACATGTTGAATTCCTTTCCCTAGGCTCTGCCTAAGTGCAAGCCTTGTGATTCGCTTAGTCCATGCCCTCTGGGAATTTGCTATGCCCACTGGAGCACAACTGTCTTCCCACCCTGCCACCTTTAATTTTATTAGCTATTAGCTGTTACCTAAGTTGAAAAATGGAATGACACAGGAATGTAGTTGAAATCCAGTGCATTACTCCCTAGGATGAAAAACAAAGTAGACACACAGGCTGACTGGTGCCAGGTGATACAAAAGCGTCAGCATGAATCATAAATGCTCTGGTGGATGACACTTCTCAGATTGATGGCTGCAGTCTGAACGCTTTGTGTCTTGGGCCTGTGTTTGGAAGTCGGGTGGTGCACATTCTTTTCCACCCTTTAGAATTAATCTTTTCACACTGGCTGATAGATGTTAGCTACAAACACAGTAAGAATCCTAAAACTTAACACTGTCGTTGTTCCTTTTTTTAAATAAGTTCTTTACTCAGAAACAAATGATGCACTCCTAATAGATAAACATCCTTTTATTATATGTCTTCATGGAGTCTACTCTTTTTTAGACAAACACTAGTGCTAACCACATTAGCGCTGATCTTTAACTATAATTTAAGCAACAGTCCCTACCCCTCTTTAAAATAAACATTTTTATATATTGTAGAATAATTTTACATTTACATGAAAATTGTAAAAATATAGCAGAGCTCCTATATACCCTTTACCCAGTTTTCCACTGCTAACGTCTCACATGACTGTGTATTTCAAAACTAAGAAATCGACGTTGCTATATTACTGTGAACTACAGTCCAGTCTTTATTTGGATTTCATTAGGTTTTCCATTAATATCATTTTTCTGTCTCAGAATCCAATCAAGGGAACCTCCTTGCATTTATTTGTGATGTCTTCCCAGACTCCTTTTTCTGTAACAGCTTCTATCTTTCCCTTTTTTCTTGACCTTGACTGTCTTGAAGAGGATTGGTCAGGTATCTCAATCTGGGTATATCCAAAGTTTTTTTCATCCTTTAGACTGGTATTCTTTTTGGAAAGAATACCACAGAGGGGAAGTGTACTTCTTGCCACATAATATCAAGGATACGTGACAGCCACATGACATCACTGAGGATAATAACTTTTACCACTCACTAAGTGGTGGCTGAGTTGGCCAGGGTTTTACTCTGAAATTAATATTTTTTCATCTCCATACTCTTTTCTTTGGAAGCAAGCATATCAATCTAGCCCACTCCCCAGCCTCCTCACCTCTTTTTTTAATGGCTGCAATCAACTCTATGACTAAGATCTAACATGATTGTACCACATTCTGTGTTAATTATCTAATACAACTCTAGATAGTTAAGAAGGCAGTATAGCCAGTGTGCTGACAGCTGTATAGCAGTGATTCCTCCTTTTGAGAATACAGGTTGGTTGCCCAGAAAGAGTTTAAGAATAAAACTCTTACAATCTCCAGATTTCCTATCCCTTACCTCTACCCAAAAGAATTAGACACCAGAACAGATAGTTTACGTGTTTGGCTCATGACATAGCTGGATGGCAGAGAGGGGTGAAGTCACCTCTGGTTCATCTTGAGGATTTTTGTCTTATTTTCTAGTCATCCCTTAGTGAATTTCTTTAAATATCATGTTATGGTTTGTGTTCAGACCCTAGAGCAGCAGGAAACCAGAGACAAGAGTGAGTTAGGTTTTGTAACTCTATCTTCATGCTTATTGCAGAGTAGCTGCAGAATCGCAAACTACATGTTATAGTCAGTAATTTTAAAATGTTTCAGGAAGCGTGGCATCAAGTTGTGAACTTTACACAGGTAATTTTTTCCTTCTGTCAAAATATTTACTTATGAATGTGTTATATAATTTACTTTTTGCTTTAAGTAGCCACAGGTGCGAGAATGATTGTTTCCATCCCATTTGAAGCTTAACAAATTTTCACACTTTGAAGGTGAAGGCCACAGTGTTTTGTATTCTTATGTTGACATTTATTATACTGAAATAATTCTCTTTGGTGGAATTAATAATTACTTGGAGGATGAAGTTACAATAGAATATTCAAAGATATTGAAATGAAAGGTACATATGCTGACCCTTTCTATTATCATCTTTTCTAACTGTAGCTTACTTACCACCTTCTTCTCTTTGAATAGGTTGATATGTAACAGCTCTGCATATTAGGGATGTTAATGCTTTTAATAATATGGAAAATGTCTCAGATTGTCATTCATATTTCCATCTCCCTATTATGTTTCCTCATGTAGAAGTTTTTGTTTCAATACAGTCATATTTATCAATATTTCTTTTCATGGGTTCTGGTTTTTACATTTTCTTAGAACTCCCTTCCCATTTCAATGGTGTATTAGTCTGTTCTCATGCTGCAAATAAAGACATACTTGAGACTGGGTAATTTATAAAGGAAAGAGGTTTAATTGACTCACAGTTCCACCTGGTTGGGGAGGCCTGGCAATCATGATGGAAGAGCACGGGACATCTTACATGGCGGCAGGCAAGAGAGAGCTTGTGCAAAGGAACTCCCCCTTATAAAACCATCAGATGTCATGAGACTTACTCAGTGTCATGAAAACAGCATGGGAAAGACCCGCCCCCATGATTCAATTACCTCCCACCAGGTCCCTCCCACGACACATGGGAATTGTGGGAGCTACAATTCAAGATGAGGTTTGGGTGGGGACACAGCCAAACCATGTCAAATAGCCAATATCTATTCACTTCTGAATTTCCAATATATAGTAAGGTGGTGAAATAGTCAAGTCAGGGGCTGGTGCCATTTGTTTTCCTTTATATTTTGAGACTGTACGTAACTGAACTCAAGGTACTTTATGGGCATTATCCACTGTATTTGTGTCTTGATGGTCATGTGGGAGAAGAGGGAAGTTTTTACAATGTTTTCAGTTTGGAAGAAATTCAGGAACAGGAGATAATATAATAAGGTCATATCATCAAATTTTATTGCTTTTATCCCCTAATTCTCATCTTTTTCTGTATTATGCTATCTTTAGAACCAGTGTGCTATATGGTCTGAGTGTTTGCGTCCCTCTAAAATTCATGTTGAAACTTAATCCCCATTGTGGTGGTATTAAGTGGTGGGGCCTTTTGGGAGGTGATTAAGCTGTGAGGGCTCTGCTTTTTTTTTTTTTTTTTTTTTTTTTTTGAGACCGACTCTTGCTCTGTTGCCCAGGCTGGAGTGCAGTGGCGCGATCTCGGCTCACTGCAAGCTCCGCCTCCCGGTTCTCGCCATTCTCCTGCCTCAGCCTCCCTAGTAGCTGGGACTACAGTCGCCCGCCACCACGCCCCGCTAATTGTTTGTATTTTTGGAAGAGACGGGGTTTCACAGTGTTAGCTAGGATGGTCTAGATCTCCTGGCCTCGTGATCCGCCCGCCTCGGCCTCCCGAAGTGCTGGGATTACAGGCATGAGCCACCGCACCCAGCCCAGGGCTCTGCTTTTATGAGTGCGATTCATGCCCTAAAATGGGCTGAAGGGAGCTGTCTTGCCCTTTCTACCTTGTGAGGACGCAGCAACGGGTGTCATCTATGAAGCCCTTACCAGACATCGACTCTGATGGTTGGTGCCTTAATCTTGGGCTTCCTAGCCTCCAGAATTGTGAGAAATATATTTCTGCTGTTGATAGATTACCCAGTCAAGGATATTATTATAGCAGCCCAGGTGGATTAAGATGCAGCTATTACTTTTAGAACTGGATAGTGAATCTGTCATTGAGTTCCAAATTCTGTCCCAAATTTGGATGAATTGTTTTCAACTAGAAAACAAGGGGGAAGAAGAGAGAAAGAAATAAATAGAAAAAGAAGAAGTAAAATAGAGAGATGGAAGCTACTGTTGCTTCATAGCTTGATAGAGCCTTAGTAGTGATTTTAGGGACTGATGTACCTGCACCTGGAAGGTATTTAACCAGCTGATAACTGGAAGAGAATATAGTCCTTTGTACTTTTATAACAAAATACCACAGACTGGGCCAGGCACAGTGGCTCACAGCTGTAATCCTGGCACTTTGGGAGGCTGAGATGGGTGGGTCACTTGAGACCAGGAGTTTGACCAGCCTGGCCAACATGATGAAACCTTATCTCTACTAAAAATGCAAAAATTAGCTGGGCATGGTGGCACACACCTGTAATCCCAGCTCCTTGGGAGGCTGAGTCTTGAACCTGGGAGGCAGAGGTTGCAGTGAGCCAAGATCATGCCACTGTACTCTAGCCTGGGTGACAGAACAAGACTCTGTCTCCAAAAAATAAAAATAAAATAAAACACCACAGACTGGGTGATTTATGAAAAAAAAGAAATTTATTTCTTACAGTTCTGGAGGCTGGGAGCACAAGGTGAAAGCATCAGCAGATGTGGTTGTCTGGTGAGGGCTGCTGTCTGCTTCTGGGATGGCACCTTGTGGCTGCATCCTCTATGGAGCAGGAAGTTGGTGTCCTCACATGGTAGAAGGAATGGAAGGGGCAAAAACTGGGGCAAACTCTTTGCCAAGTCCTTTTATAAGAGCAATGATTCCTATTTACGAGGGCAGAGCCCTGATGACTCAATCACCTTTGAAAGGCCATACATCCCAATACTGTTGCATTGGAGATTAAATTTCAACCTGAAGGGTAGAGGGACAAAAACACTCAATTCATAGAAAGCCTTGTCTACAAAGCCAATTCTATAATTCTTTTTACTTTATTCAAGAAAAAAAAGGTCACTGATTATACATACCACTTACATCTTGATGAGAATTAGTGAACATAGGAATACCTGCCAAGCGTATGCTTTGCCTCAGCTACAATAGCAACAAGGAATTAAACTTAAAATAGATACATTTGTTATGGTGGATGAACATCTGTATCCTATGTTTTAGTATTCCACATGTGCTGTGTTATAGTTTGAATTAATAGATGTATTGATCAACCATAATTCAAATCAATATGGATCTTTAGGTAAATAATACATTTAATGATTTTTTTAAATTAAAAAAGACTTTTAAAAAGACCCATCTTTTCTAGAGGAATTAATATTGTTCTATTTAGAGTGACCAGGGGGAATACTGACTTTGATGCACAGCCACAATTTATGATCATATAATGTGTTTTATTAATCATCTCTGGTGATTATTGTTTTTATTGTCCTACTTTATAGATTTAAGGTGTAAGTACTAGGTTCAGGTCAATATGCCTCTTCTATGGTTGATAGCTTAGATATCATTTTCTTCACTGCAGTACATTAAGAAAGAAAAAGAATGAGCTACATGAGTGATGACTCAGCTGTGGTTGCAAGTACATGCTCACCGTCCTCCTTCTCAGAAAGAGGACTAGAAGTAGTCGGGGCCTTTTTCTTTCTCTCTCTCTCAGAAATATAGAGGCCTGGATGGTCATACCTAAAAACAAAAAGGAATCTAAGGAAACATGCTTCGTATACATATTATGCCCCCTTTTGTTTTGCAGTGACTTCATAACAGTGGCATAATACTCTACGTCTATGAACTTAATTGGAATAACTAATAATTTATCTTAGTTTTATACCCTCTTTTATTTGCTTCATTTTTATTTCCCTTTAATTTGTTTTGGTGGCTATAAAATTTAGGGATGGGTAGCAAGGGGTAAGAGCCAAGTGCACTGCACACAAATGCTTAATAAACCTCACTGCCATACACAGCCAGTACATTCTTGGCCTGTGGTGCCACCTCACACACCTGTTATTATCCTGTCTATCTGAAACACAGTGTTTAGTGAACCTGTCATTCTGCAACTCTGATTCTCAGATAATTTTTTTTAGATTGAAATGAACATATCCTAGAAATGAGCATTTCCACAGCTATCCTGACACCATATCCTTGAGTAAATTATTTTAAAATTTATTGTAAGTCCTATAGGGAGAGTTGGAAGTTAGCCATCAAGTATGATTGGAGCCATTTTAATGAGTTGCCTAGTATCCTACAATGGTAAAAAGAGCTCTTAAAATGACCTACATTACTAAAGAGAGTAGCTTAAACCTTTAGTTCTTCTTACTTAAGTTGTATTATCTTCCATGTATCTTTACTTGAGTTTCTCACTGGAAACATTTAGTTGTTTAACACACACATACAAAATTAAACTCCCTAGCATTGATAAAATTATTTTTTTCCTTAACAACACAACTTGTCAGCTATTTTACTTTAGTAGTGTCTCATAACCAAAGGAAATTGCAGGGAGAAAGCACTGATTCTTAAAGCCTGACATACTGATCTATATCAGCAACGCATGTGTTCTTTAGACGTTCTTCACCGGCAGAGGACAGGATTGCCTGCCAGCCTGGGACAAAGCACCATATGGCTGGGATGAGGGGAAGGATGGTGATGCACATGAAGGGTGGGAGGGGAGCTGTCACAGCCTGTCAGTCTTTATTCCCAGAGGAAACTCTGGTGACAAGGGAGTGATTGAAATGGCACGTTTGGGGTCTCTGGGCATGGAGAATGGATAAACAATGACTGGGAATTCAATGACATAAACTCAAGGGAAAGGGTGGAAACAAAGCGAGCTGCAATTGGGTAGAAGCATAACTCTCCTGTAGTTGGGGAAAGATGCCAGGAAGAGACATTGATGAGAAAGATGATTAAAGGTGGCCTCACAAAGCCTTGGAATAGTGACAGATGGAAAGGGTGCAATGATTAGTAAGAAAATACAAAGAGAAAAAAGAGACCTGAAATGAAATAAAGTCTTATAGGAGCAGAAATATGGAACAATACAATTTTTTAAAAAGAAAATGAATGATAGATTTTTCTCTGCAACCTGAAAAGTTAAGTAGAGAAGGATGTACAAGTGACGACGTACTTTCCTTCCACAGACGAAGCATGCTTGTCCTCAACTTACTTGATCTACCAGACTCAAAACTAGCTCAGAACTTCCCAATGCCTTTTTTTTTTTTTTTTTGGACAAAGTCTCGCTCTGTTGCCCAGGCTGGAGTGCAGTGGCATGATCTCGGCTCACTGCAACCTCCACCTCCTGGGTTCAAGCAATTCTCTGCCTCAGCTTCTTGAATAGCTGGGATTACAGGCACCCCCCACCACACCCGGCTAGTTTTTGTATTTTTAGTAGAGATGGGGTTTCACCATCTTGGCCAGGCTAGTCTTGAACTCCTGACCTCGTGATCCACCCGCCTCGGCCTCCCAAACTGCTGGGATTACAGGCATGAGCCACCACGCCCCGCCTCCCAAAGCCTTTCTATGAGAGTTCCTACATCTCCAGACAGCCATTAAGAAACTGGACGAGCAGAAATAGGCTTTCTGCTCTCAAGATCTAAAGATAGACAAATAACAATAATAACAGCCGTTTATTGAATGCAAATCATATGCTAGGTATGGTGAGCAGCCCTTAGACTCCACTTCTCATTATCACTTAACAACTCTGTACACTAAATATTTTGTATCCACTTTTAATGTGGAAATTAAGGCCCAGAGAGGCTAAATACCTTTCCAAATAACACAGTCACAGAGTTTGGAGTAGGGAGCAAGGTTCATACCATTTAATTGCAGTTCGCTAGTCAAATCTATTTATTTACATACATGATGCCCTAGCCACCTCGCCAAGCTGCCTGTGGTACTTGCTGTATCTTCATAAACTCTTTAAAAGGCACTTTCCTAAATAAGCAACTTGGAAATAAAGAAATTATTAAAAGCATATGATATATGTTTTTACATACCTACAATGTGCAGATTTGAGCATAAAACCTTTAGTTGCTCACATATTGGTTGGCCAGTTTATCAGATAATATTTTTCTCCTCCTTTTTTCTGAAAAGAGCTCAAACTCTGAGAGCTATAGTTATCGTTGCTGAGATGAAAATACTTCCCGAAATTAGTTTCTCAGTTTATCTCTTTGTGTGGCCATAGGAAATCCTTTTTAGCATACAACTTTTATTTGGCCATACTCTTTGCTGTATGATTCTGGGATAAGAATCACACTTTCTATAACAGACCCGTAGGTCCCCTTCTGGATACAAGGTCAGCCCAAACCAAATTTTCGAGCTTCCTTTTTGCTTCTTAATGAAAGCATTATTTCCCTTAGGAAGCATCGTTATGTGAACACACCTACTTTGTTTGGCACAATGTAGAAAGCTTGCCACCAGGGCTTCCTCTAGGGATCAAGGCTGACAAACTGTGACAGAGCAGGCTGTGATATATTTCCCCTTCTCCATTTGGTTCAAAATAAAATGTTCTCACCCCAAACCTGCATTTCCTTAGAACCTTCCTCTGAGCTTGGTTTTTCATTCTACTTTGTAATTTATCTGCAAATTAATAATAATGAACATAACTAGTTGGCAGTAATGCTCAGTCTTCTCCCAGTGCATATTCTCAAGCAACCACTGTACAGAGTTCTGAAAAGGAGTGTTCCAGCCAAAGTCTTAACATAATCTCACAAATTTGCAAAGCCTTCCGTTTAGCTGGACCCTGCAATAATTTAATGTATACCTGTGATATGGCTAACATACACTGTGATAATGATGGAGGATTAAAGTGATAAACAGTTTAGACTTGGTTCCTTCTTTCACAGAGCATACAATTTGTAATAGGATCACAACAACAATAACAAAAATGACCGGATTGTTGGAGTCCAGGGAAGTGCCCTGACAGGAGAGTTTGTCTTGTCCAGATCCTGTGAACACCCAGGTAGAGGGGCCTAAGCCAGGCTGGAGATCAGTGAGGTGACACTCTAACTGAAACCTGAAGGAGGCCCCCACGTCAGGGCAGCAAAGCAATTGGAGGAAGGTATTCCAGCTGAGTTTGCAGCACACAAAAGTAGCAGAGGTGAAAGCATGAGGTCTTCCTGGAATTGAGCAAGTTCAGCATGGAGAACTGAGAGGTAGCAAGGAGGCTGTTCTGAAAGTAAAGTCTCTGCACACTCCTGAAACCTAGCTCCGCACTCTCAGAGACCCTCAACTGTATCTTTCAGGCTTAGATCCTTCAGGCCCTGTCATGCTGAAGACAACTGAGAAAGTATAGCTGATATGGAAGGAGTAATGTTGGAGGTGGCAGCAAATGCATCCTGGAGGGTCAAGCCAAGCTGAGTAGGGGGTATGACCAAGCTGGTTTTCCCTCTGGGATTTGAAAATGGATTGAACAGCTTCTCACCCAGTGCCTTGCACAAAGTATGTCTTCAATTAACATTGAATGGATTAATAATTGGATGCATAAATTCATTTTATCAAAGAGTACATACAAGGTATGATTCAATTCCATAGCACTATTATTATGATAGTTAATGTACAAATTAAATAGGTATCTGGAAACAGAATAGAAATCATTTAGTGAGGTGGTGTGTTCTAATGTCTAAATAACTTTTCTACCCAAACTCTAGAATGGAACTCATTTGTAAGCAAGTGACTGTCTCTAACTTTTCCATAGTCTTACACAGGTACATCTTGAGTCCTCAAATTAATTGCCTGTTCTCTAAGGTCAAAACTCAGGGCTTAAAAATAAATTATTATTAGCTTCATGCGTAACAGTAGGAACATGATAGATATTCCATCAATATTCATTATTCATTTTTATCTAAAATGTACCTATCCAATACATTATTTTATGTGTGTGAGATAATGCATTGTCAATTAGATTTTACCATTTCACAATGTATATATGCCTCAAGGTATCATGTTATACAGGATAAAAGCATACAATGTTATCTGGCAATTAAAAACAAATAAATAAATGATTATTTAATGAGATTTTATGGAGTACATTAAGTTTCATCTCATTAAGATTAAAAATGGTTTCAAATAACTATTTTATAAAATCTACATTTCTTACTTTTTCTAAAGTTCTTAATCTACTACCACAAAAGTCATGATTCTTTCCATTTTGAAAATAATGTAACATTTTAGAAAAAATATTATTTCATTTTAAGTTTTAATTATACACAACCATGCTTCTTTTTTTGATAATTTTATGAAATAACTTTATGAACTGTAAAAACTTAACTATCATTTAGGTTTATCCACTTCTTCATTTAGACAATAAAAAGCTAGAGTTTAGTGTCAAGGGAACAACAAGAAAAAAAAATCAAAAGGAGAAATGATAGTTGTTTGCTCTTAGGAAAATTAAGTGTTTCTGTTATTTCACTGACAATATCTAGTTACATATTATTTTTATTAAATGGTGAAGATGCAGACTAATAAAGCAGATGCAGCTAATAAAGCAGCTAGTTGATTTGGTGGCTACATTTGTAATATTTTAGTGAGCAACATGGGGAATGAAACAAGGAAATAGGTCTATTGGCTTGTTTGAGGTTTAATGTAAATTAAACATTTTTGTTGTTATGAGTACCCCTTATCTTTCATATACATCATAGGGAATGAAGGTAGTGGACTATCAATAAGCTTAGAAAAAAATTCATGTTCATAAACACTGTATAATAACGTGTGACAGAAAAAGTCCTTGGTATCTAGAAAAATTGAAGCTTTATTTAAAAAATTAATCCAATAGCATCATTGTTACCAAGGCTATTGCAGGGGACCTAAACAAAATATTATTTTTTGGCTTCAAAACTATGAATATTTGGCTTTTCGTTATCTATAAAAATTATCACCCTTTCCTGGATTTGGCTATTATTAAAAAATTTTTAAAGATGTTCTTAAAAGAAAAAAAAAGACTGTCATTATAGTGTGGCAAATTCACCTCCTCTTCTCCATGACAACAGATAAAGAAGCTGTAGCTATAGCAACAGTAATGGGCCAGAGAGATTAGGGCCAGACTGGAGATTAGGCCTCCAAGAGCAAAGAAAAGAAGTCCTGATTGGTTCTTTATTGAGACCTTATTTGAAGGCAAGTTACTGTTGAGAGAAAGCATGGAGGATTAGTAAGAACAAAATTAATTCCCCTGTATAAGATAAGAAGCCATTCCTTTGTTAAAACTGTGTTCCTCCGTTTTAATATAACGCCTGTTTAAACTGAGGTAAAGAGTCCGTGATTAATTCTATGCTGAGCTTTGTGCCATCTGAGTCTAGACCAGCTCTGTGAGAAGACACTCCCTGAAGCCTAAGGAGAAAAGAGGGAGGAGCATCTGCCTGCTTGCCATTGCCCCTTGCCCTCCTCTCTGGCACTCCCTGGGTGGGTTGGAGATGCCAATTGGTTTGTGATGTTGACATCATGTAGGAGTGAGATGCTCTTGGAGGAAAAAGATTGGAAAACTTCCCTCTTGTTCGTATAAAACTTATTTGTCTAACTTCTTGAAAATTTCAAAAAGCTTTCACCAAGTTATAATTAATTATATGTTTAAAAATACGTTTCTCAAAAATCTAGTAATGTTCCCATTTTTTAATAACTGGTAAGTTATAGAGGTATTACATTTTGAGTAAATGTGCTATCTATAATTTCAGATTGATATACTGATGAAGGAGGGATTTGTTATTTTTTAAATAATAAATTTATAGGAATGAGAATATCTGGCCTGATGCTATGAATTTTTTTAAAAGGATTTTGCCACATTTACTTCTGAACATGTAGTGCTCACACACACTTCAACTGAGAGCCTGTGAGAGCGCCACACCCTGGCCGACATGAGATATTCACCTTCTTTAAAGTGGTCTCCGATAGAATTTTTTCAGACTCTGTTTTAATGTGTATTTCTTGCATTATTTGTCAAGTTGAACCCCACTTTTCAATAAGACGATTTATTATTTTAAAGATTTAAAAACATGCTTTTTAATATTATGTTACTTGGTTTTTATATATTTTCTAAATACTTTCAGTCAGTCTTTCCACGGGAAACAACACCTCAACTAAACCAAGAGGGAAAGTAGGAGTTATACAGATGAGTGAGAGGGGCTTGTTAAGGTTTGGGATCTGCTTCTGTGAAGGCCTAGGCAATTGCAGGGGGCTCAGCATGAGGAGAACATACTTAATATAGAAGCATCAAGAAGCCAAGGAGCTTCCACATAAGCACCATGAGAACATTGGCTTCGTCTGTTGTTCCCCACTCTCTCTTCTGTGCTTAGACAAGGAGGACAGGCGATCTGAGCTGTTCGAATATTTGCTGAGTGAGCAGAGCTACTGAACGTTGCTAACTGTGCACCTCTGCAAGCCTCTGCCCGAAGGTATTTTCTGTCTTGCTGTAGGAACACACTAGGCCATTGTTTAGGAAAGGCAAATCCCCTGGAATCACCCTCAACAAATGATGGAGAAGGAGTAGGTAGATAAATACCCCTATCCACTACTCTGAGGGATGAATAACTCTGAGGCATGTCCTGTACTGACTCCCAGAGTCCCCGATGGGATTTGCCCTTCCGTTTCCCACAGGTATAGCCATATAGATAATGCACTCTTCAGATAGGTCCCTCCCTGCCCTGTCTCACTTCCTGATTCTCTGCAGTATTTCTGGGATCATCTCCCAAATGTAGTACTTGAACAAAAGTCCTCTTCTGAAGCCTTGTTTACGGAGAAAGCCACCCAAGACCCATGGTCAGCAGGAGTCAGGCCAGCAAGCTAATTAAGAAGTTTGAAGCTTGCCCTGAAGACGATTTGTGGAGGAAAAATAAGTAGTAGAGTGACACGACCAGATTTATATTTTTATAAGCTCATTCTGGATGCTGCACAGAGAATATATTTGAGGAAGGTGAGTTTAAGGAAGGCAGAGGAGCTGGGGGACACTTGTGGTAATTCCAGTTAGAGAGTGCAATGGTGTCAATGGAAGCATGGCAGTGGAGACGCAATAGTGTGGGTAGATTAATGAGATGTTCAGGAGCGGGGAACCCTAGCATGCGGTGAGTGAAGGAGAGTCAGGAATCAAGGATGGGCTTCGGGTTTCCAGGCTGCACAGCTGAGAGGACAACTTGAATATCACCCAGGAGGAGAAGCAGGCTGAGGGGGAGGGAGAGAATAAATTCACTCCAGTGTGTTAGTCTTAGCTGCCTGTGATGTGTGGAAGTAAAAGTTTTTGTCAAGAAGCTTAATATCACTCATATTTTTGAGAGAGATACGCCATCCCCAGGCATCAATCTTTTCCTCTCCCTCACCACTCTGCTATAAAAGATTGACTAACTCACTGCCACTCTTCCATTTATTTAAAATACTGTACTGATCCAGAGAGCAAGGCGAAATTTTATCTACAAAGAAATAGTCAAAGAATCTATGGAGTCAGAAATAACTTTGAATACTTTTTTTTTTTTTGCCATTCTTTAAAACCTCTATTTCTCTGTATAGCTAGTAAGAATTGTATATCGATAATGTTTCTGGAACCATTAGAAAATGGGGTATTTCCACTACCCAGATGAATTTTTCTAGCTAGCAGAAGTTTAACTCATGGCAGTGATACCACTCAGCCAGTCGCTATACAAAGTGAATGCAAGAATGAAGACTGACTTTGATAAAGACTAGGGAAAATGGACCACAAAAGCCGGTTTGAAGATTTTATATCCGCAAATGGGTACCTGTGATTTGTGGCTAGAGATCACCTGTCGAGATGAAACACGTATTCCCTAGACTTGAGAACTTTAACAAACATAAAGAAAACAGAGTTATCACAGCAAAGCTGAATTATGAATTCACACACACCCAAGCAGACACACACTACAAAATATACATGCACATATGTAATAGAAAACCCTGTCTTACATATTATTAATTCCCCCAATTTGTGAAAAGACAGTTTTTTAATTGTGAATAATTCAGAGTTGTTCTTATGAACAAGTCCATGAAAATTGCTTCTACTTTTTGTTAACTTTCATCAGCTTTTCATTTCTGCTCTTAATTTTCTATGGTCTTAAAAAATACATAAATAAACCACTTCAAATTGTTTCCAAACAGGCTGGGAGAGGTGGCTCACGCCAGTAATCCCAGTACTTTGGAAGGCCAAGACAGGTGGATCATCTGAGGTCAGGAGATCAAGACCAGCCTGGCCAACATAGTGAAACCCTGTCTCTACCAAAAATACACAAATTAGCCGGGTGTGGTGGTGTGTGCCTGTAATCCCAGCTACTCAGGAGGCTGAGGCAGAAATAAATTGTATCAGAACAGTGTAAACATGTAGACAGATACTGACAGGAATAAGGTTTTGTGATAACTTTTTGGTTACCTGAAGCATTTATGAATACAGGTAAGTCTGTGGCTATGTTATAGAATATTGAGGTCTCCATTGGTTTGACTTCCAAATTAGCGCTTTATTAAACTCGGTGTCAGTGTTTGTACACCTACTTGGGCTGTATCTTTTCTACTATGAAACATATTTTAACTGTGAAATGAATATTTTAAAGAATCACCTTGGGGCCAGGCATGGTGGCTCATGCCTGTATCTCCAGGACTTTGAGAGGCCAAGGTGGGTGGATCACTTGAGGTCAGGAGTTCGACACAGCCTGGCCAACATGGCAAAACCCCATCTTTACTAAATATACAAAAATTAGCCAGGCGTGGGGGCACATGCCTGTAATCCCAGCTACTCGGGAGCCTGAGGCAGGAGAATCACTTGAACCTGGAGGCTGAGGTTTCAGTGAGCCAAGATCGTGCCAGTGCACTCCAGCTTGGGTTGCAGAGCAAGACCCCATCTCAACCAAAAAAAAAAAAAAAAGAATCAACTTCGTTACCATTTTTTAATACATAAGAAGAGTTTTATAGTATGTGATTTTTCTTTGTCAGAAATCATGTGGTCTTACTGTATGTTAAAACTATATGATTACATTTTTTTCTACAGTAATAACTGCCCCCAACCTTGTAAAATCCTGGAGATTATGGCCCTCTTAGCTCTTCTTAGAACTGTTAAAAATGCCAATAGGTTATCTTTGACAAATAGTCACTGTAAATTTAGATTTATATTTAGTATATCTTGAGTTTATCTTCTGAATTGTAATACCGTCTTTTACTTCGAATATAGATACATGTGTTCATTCGTTTATTCATTTATCCATATTTTTACTTATTCAACCTCTGCTTCATTCCAGAAACAATTCAGGGAAATATTAATTACTTAAAATGATTTGTCTTTTACCAAAGACATTTTCTATCATCAGTTAAAGTCATGAGAGGTGTAATCCTTTTACAATATTGAATCATATTATCCACAGTTCTAAGGTCTTTCTAGAACTCAAGTGCTTGTTAAAAATTCACATTGCCAAATTTCTCTCCCCTTTTCTTCCCTGAGCAGACATTTTTTTCCCTTATTGTCATAGATCCCATGGGTAATAGAAATTGGACATTTAAGCAGTGGAATTGTATACATGTCATTAGCCACACTTTAAAACCCAAGAAATACAAATATACCTTTTATTCCATTTACTGTGTGCATTCCCTTGGTTTTCTTCCTTGCTTTAGAATCAAGGTGACTATGACATGGAGATGCTTGCTAATAGGTTGGCTCTGCCTTCCTACCCAATTCTTACCTATGGCAGCGACACCTCTGATAGCCTCCTCTTCTTTCTCCTTAGCTATCCCAAGCTCCAGTGTCCTCCCTTCGGCTCCCAGAGATGTGGTCCCTGTCTTGGTTTCCAGCCGATTTGTCCGTCTCAGCTGGCGCCCACCTGCAGAAGCGAAAGGGAACATTCAAACTTTCACGGTCTTTTTCTCCAGAGAAGGTGACAACAGGTAGGTGATGCTACCAATAAAATTCAGCTTAATCGGTCATCTCTTTAAGTCAATACGGTTGGGTAATGGCAGGAGGAGATCTTGGGCAGGAACTTTGGAGAGGCTGTGAAATCTCTACTATGTCCTTCACTCATTCCCCAGTGGAGATGTGCACTTTTAAAAAGCAGTGTTGTTGACACAGTCTAATGAAATTATCTGTATAAAAAATCCTTGAAAAAGGTAAGAATATATTATGTCAATTTTTTATTTCTTTGGTTTTCAGAGTCATAAACAGAGAACAGAATTAGGCTGTATATTAGTAGAACAGTGTATAAAAGCACTACTGTGGCTAGCTTGTAATCCCATTTCTGTCATTGACATCACATGAGCTCCAAAAAACCACATGACTTCTCTGAGCCTCATTTTCCTCTTTAATAAGGAGAAATTAATAATACCTACCTTAAAATATACAATAAAGTGTATAATTGGATTGTTTGTAATGCAAAAGACAAATGCTTGAGGTGATGGATGCCCCATTTACCCTGATGTGATTATGACACATTGCATGCCTGTATCAAAATACATCATGTATCCCATAAATATGTACATCTATTATGTCCCCACGAAAATTAAAAGTTTTTTAAAAACAAAAAAAAATCAAATTTAAAAAAATAATACTTACCTTGCAAGGCTTTGGCTAGCATTAAATTAAGTTGCATATATAAATGTCATATCAGTGTCCAGTACTTGGTAGAAGTTGTTATTGTGGATATTACTATTGACTAAGCAAAAGTGAGCTGTACATATCTGGTTTCAAGATTACAATCCATTGCATTTTTTTCTCAACATTTTCCCCTTAAGATATTTCACCATCTTATGACTTTGAAATTTGATGTTTAAGTCTGAGGTAAATGCTGGATAAGTTCCACTTCAGGAGAAGCAGGGATTCATGTCCTAGGGTTCTAGTCCCTCAAATTTGTGAGTGCTGTAAACATGTGATGATCTTTAGAATTCAAAAGGGGACATATACATTGGATAAACCAAAGTGTTATTTAGTTCAAAATGGGACAGTCTGGTGCTCAGGTGGTGCAGTACAGCTCCTCACCTGCTGGGTCTCAAAATGCTCTCCTTTGTAGTTGGCAGCAAGTTCAAGTTTAGCCTTTTAAAGTTTCTGTTATCTTTTACAAATTGACCTTACTTTAAAATGAAAGGAAAGAGGCTGGGCAAGGTGACTCCACGCCTGTAATCCCAGCACTTTGGCAGGCTAAGTCAGGTGGCTCACCTGAGGTCAGGAGTTCAAGACCAGCCTGACCAACATGGTGAAACCCTGTCTCTTCTAAAAATACAAAAAATTAGCTGGGCATGGTGGCGCGCACCTGTCATCCTAGCCACTCAGGAGGATGAGGCAGGAGAATTGCTTGATCACGGGAAGCGGAGGTTGAAGTGAGCCAAGATTGTGCCACTGCACTCCAGCCTGGGCAACAGAGACGCCATCTCAAAAAAAAAAAAAAAAAGAAGAAGATGTAGGCATACCCATATTGCCTTGTGCTCACTAAGATTATTCATTACTGTGAAGAAACAGGCGTTCGTTTTAGTGTTATCTCTGTAACTATTTGTGATCTTACGATGCCTCCTGAGTTCCTTGGATTTCAGTGTGTGCAGCTGTGAAAACTGGAAGCAATGATTCTTGCCCAGTCATCATGTTTTTACATGGATTTCCTGGAGGTACCTTAAATTCAACCTGCCCAAAACATACTCACTTTCTCCTCCTTATGTATATTTTTCCTTTCTTTTCTTAGTTTATGTTAGTATCTTCCATCCCCGTTGACCAAGCAAAAAATTCATGCCATGTTTTACTGACTGCTGCCTCCCAACACTACCATTCCTCGTGAAGTCTTGTCAACTTTACCTTGGCCATAGCTCAGCCATGCTTCCTTTATTCTATTATTTTCAACATCTTTACCTGATCTCTGGGAATCGCTCCTCACCTGCCAATCCATCTTCCTCACTGTTTGTAGTTACCTTTTTGAAATATAGTTTTGATCACTCACTCCACTGCCCCAAAATGTGACTGGTTCTTAAATACAATAAAACTGCTATACAAATATATGCACATGGAACTTCAGACTTCTTTCAATGGAAGTCTAGCCCCAATCTATCTGTATCTATATCTGTCTATCTGTATGCATATATGTAAAAGTGTGGTTTCTATAATCTATAATGGTTAAAATTTTTTCACTCAAGTCACAAGAGCTAGATTTGAAAATGGTCCTACTATTTATCAAATGTGTGATGCTTCTGTATTTAATAATGTATTAAATACGAATAATACTTTTTTGGTAAAAGGAATAAAAGGAAGATAAATTCTACCTGTTAGCATTGCTATGAGGACTGAGGGAATTCAGATAAAGAATTCAGGGCAGTCACTCCACACAGGAAGAATGGAAGGGCTCAGAATAGTGTGAGCTCAGAGACAATGTGGAAAAGAAGTTGAAATTTAGGCTCAAAGTATAGGAAGAAGGAGGATGAGGAAGAGAAAGGGAAGGAGAAGGGGAAGGAGAAATTGTTGAAATTGCTATGTTTGGGTGAACCATTTATTTTCATAATTGTTCACAGGCCTGCTTATCATACAATTTTGTCCTTTCCTCTTCTCTTGAGCTTGTTCTTACCTTTCAATCCTAAGCATCAATCCTCTATACCCCCTTGGCTACTTGCTGCCATGGTTATACCATGAACCTTGACAACACCAATCACTGCAACCTCTCATTATCTGAGTTTCAAATCATATTCTTGCCTCACTCTCCAGACTCTTGTCTTACTATCCTTTATTTAGGACTCTGAACACAACGAAACTTTGATTTCATAGAGATCTGCAATCTGTTGATCCTATCCCTTATAGTTCCTGTTTTCCTTCACTTATTCCATAGCTACAGTTCCATGGCCAGTAAACACAGCAATTAAATATTTGCTGACTTGCATCAATGTTTTGCCTGCTACTCTCATTTCATATTACTTGCTTAGCAAAAACCAACTCAAGTAAATGTAACTTTCTACCTACTCTTTACTTGTGCTCTTGTAGCTGAATATAGCTAGATGGAAAGGTGTAACTGGGCTGATTCGTCTCACTTTAAATTCATAGCTACTAATCTCCTGTTGCCCATTAATGCTACTGGCAATTATACTACATTTATCAGGCAGTCTCTCTCACATACGCTCCTAATGATATTTCATGACTTTTTCTCTCTTCTCAAATCTCCAACACCTTCCGCCTTTCCCCCACTCTTAGCTGACCTTGATTTTAATTTCATGTAATATAAGAAGGGGAATTCTACATGCTTTCATATGTGACTTTTTTTTCACCCAAGTTTGTCTTAAAGCGTATAATCTGTCTTTCCTCAAATTTCCATAAAACAACTGCCTGTACTCTTTAAAGCGAAACTTTCACTTGTGCACAAGATCCCATCTTTTCTTATAAAAGAGCAAATCTTCAGCCATTCTTTCTCTCTTCTGTGCCATCAGTTTCTCCCACTAAGGTGAATTACACCTATCAGCATGTCAGCATGTAGTCGAATCTTCCATTGCAACAAATTTTGCTTCAATTTCACTTTTCTCTCCTCTACCACTCCATGCTCTGTTCTCTTTCATAGGAATATTCCTTGAATTGTCTAACTTCACTCCAATGTCTTACATCATATTCCAATAATTATTTTGTTCCTAGAATGTAATAGCAACTGCTCTTATCAAGGTTCACCAATAACCTCCTGTTGCTAACCCAGTAGTCAATTCCTGGTCTTCACATTACTTGGACAATCAGCAAATTTTGTCACATTTGATCATTTCTCCTTCGGTGAAACTCATTCACTCAGTTTCCTATTGCACATGCTCTCCTCATTCTACTCTGGCTACTCATTTTCAGGCTCTTTTTACTTTTTACTCCCAATTTATCTGATCTGCACATATCAAATTGCTTCAGGACTCAAGCCTTTCATTCACTTCTTGACTTTATATTCTGTGAACATGCTGATGTGTTCCAAATTTGTATCTCTGGTCCTAACTTTTTTACCTGCAATCCATACTCATATACACGTCTTCCTACTTGATTTCTCAACATCAATATCCCACGAGCATCTAAAACTTATGAATAAAACCAAATACCTGTTATGCTTCAACCCCAATTCCTCCCCACCAAATACTTCATCATTCCAGAGTTCCCCCCACTTTTGAAATCTTCATATTTCTCATTATCAGGCCAAAATCTTTGAAATAATTCATAGCTCGTAGTTAATTTTTAATTCTTATTATGAAATCCGTCATCAACTCTTGGCAGTACCATCAAAATATATCCTGAATCCATGAAATAGTATACCAGGTTTTGTTATAAAATAATATTGGAAGGCTGGTTATGATTTTATATTCTGAGCTGAGTTATGGAAATAAAGTATTTCATCATATTATTCTGCCTAGTTTTATATTGTTTAAATTTTCATAATAAACAATTAAAATCAAATAAATAAAAACAAAACATGGCCAGGCATGGTGGCTCACGCCTGTAATCCCAGCACTTTGGGAGGCCGAGGTGAGTGGATCATTTGAGGTCAAGAGTTCGAGACCAGCCCGGCCAACATAATGAAACCCCGTTTCCACTAAACATACAAAAATTAGCTGGACGTGGTGGCACGCACCTGTAATCCTGGCTACTTAGAATGGTGAGGCAGGGGAATTGCGTGAACCTGGGAGGTGGAGATGGCAGTGAGCCGAGATCGTGCTACTGCACCCCAGCTTGGGTGACAAAGCAAGACTCTGCCTCAAAAAAAAAAAAAAAAATTAAGACCAGAAACAAAATATATACTGAGACCTACCACTTCTTACCCACTTCTTAAGTACAACCAAGTCTCATTGGAACTATTGCAGTAATCTCCTAATTCTAGTCTTACCATAGCAGCTGGAGTAAACCTTTTAAAAGATAAGTTAGGGTATGTCATTCCTCTGCTTCAAAACCCTGTGATGACTGTTTTTCTCATTCACAGAATTAACAGAACTCCTTGCCTTTTTCTCATGTTACTTCTCTAACCTCATCACGTAGCACTTTCCTTATGTTTCCTAAATATTCAAGAATCTTCCTCTATTGAGATCTTTGCGCTTGCTCTTCAGTCTGCCTAGGATGTTCTTCTCCTCAGAGATCCACATGGATCATTCCCTAATTTCTACCAAATCTTTGCTGTAATGTCACGTTCTCATGGAAGCCTTTCTTGATCCCTGGCACTCACTATGTACTTTTTATTTTTATTTTTCTCCATAGCCTTTATTACCTTGTACTTACAAATTTTGTTTCCCTAATCCCCTTTCTCCTCACCAGAATATAATATTCCTATGGGCAAGGCTGTTTTTATCTTCTTTATCCACTGAGCTATTCTCAGCACCTGGAACAGTGCTTAGCACATTATAGATACTCACTAAATATTTTTCGACTTGATGCCTTAGCTGAAATGTCAACTACTGTGTGGAACTCTCCATAGTCCTCCAACTCAGAATTCATCAATTTCACCTTTATCTCACCCCTTCATTTTGATTACATTACTGTTATGGCCTTGGCCACCTTTTATCAAGTTTGATGTTTGGCTGAGTACGTGTGTATTTCTTTCCCTGATGATTAAGACTAGTTCTTATTCATAATTTCATGCTCAAGTGTCCAGTATCATGCCTCATGTAAACATAAACTGATCAGAACTGATATGGTAGAGGTGGCAGAGAGATATGATATTCTCGATAGATTTTTTTCTTACCCAGTAAAATAAATTGTGTTACTGAGGAGGATGAATAAGCTGACTACAGTTCAATAAAAACTTTAATTCCAAAAAAAGTTGATATTAAAATTTTATTCTAATATCTCCATTTACTTTGATTTTTCTGGCTTTCAACTAGAGCCATAAAATATGCCACTGTCTCTTAGCAGTTAGCTGTGATGTTTGTTTGTTCATGTAGGTTTATTTAGCTGCTTGACACAATACCTTTCTAAAACGTTGTGAATTTAACATTTATCTCAGATTAGCAATAACTTTGTCAGGAAAGTTATTCTAGCTCAGATCATCACGAATCTTTCTGACTTGTTAATGGTGTAGATAATGCAAGTGCCATAATTCAAATCTTTTTATCCAACCCCTTGGGGTGCTTTTATTTCATAAGTTAAAGAGCAGCATATATTCCAAAACATGAAAGCTAGAATTCACAGTGAAGTAATTGCCTCATAGATATCTAGCTATCCCCTCTTAGTACCTAAAAATCATTAGGAATGAAAAGTGATCTTTGAGATCATAGTCTAACTTCCTGCTACCTAAACATTCAGAGACCAATGATCAGAGGAAAGTCCATGCCCAAGGCCACAGTTTTATCATCAACAGTGACAGCAAGCATTTATTGGGCACTTACTCTGCCAGATACTAGGCTAAGCATCTTACATAAAGTATGTTTACCAAGATGAGACTTAAAGAAGAAGTTTATACCTCCATTATACAGCTAGTAAGTAGTAGAACTAGAATTTCGTGCAGACCATAGTCCAAAGCAGGCACTCTCAATCCCTTTTTCATCTTGCTTCCTTAGTGGATTAACCTGCAAGAGAACTAAATGTTCTTGATATTTATAGAATTATGACATGCAATTCTTTTATATGTTTCATTCCAATAATTTTTTGACTTAATGGCTAAGTTGATTTGCATTATTTATTTACCACTAATAAAACACACTAGTGAATTTTTATTGTTGTATTTATTTTGAGAGATGAGGTTTTGCTATGTTGCTCAGGATAGAGTGCAGTGGTGTGATCATAGTTGACTTGCAGCCTCAAACTCCTGGGCTCAATGGATCCTTCCACCTCAGCCTCCTGAGTAGCTAGGACTACAGGTGCATGCCGCCATGCCTGGCTAAGTTTTTGTATTTTATATATATAAAAAGAACATTATACCTCTCACTTGTAACTAAAATGACTTATGAAGTATAACACAGTATAGCCAAAAGGGTAAGGCTATGTGGCTGTGGAATTGAACCACCTGGGTTCAAATCCTGGCTTGTTATTTTACCATCTGTGTGACTTTGGGCCAATTACTAGTGACTTTGTTTTCTCACATGGAATAATAATAGTATCTGATGTGTAAGGTTGTGATGAGTATTACATGAAGTTAAATAAAAGCACCTAAAACACTTGCTCTTTGGTGCACCCACAACATTCCATTCTTATTAGCTAATGCCATGTGCAAATCATCATGTGGGTTGAAAATTAAAATAACTGAAATACAAGGGTGTTTCTTAACTCTTATTTAGAGAGGACTTTATTACTTTCATAAGCATTCACACATTTGATCCTCAGATAAGGTATTTATGATGATCTCCATTTCACAAATGAGTATGCCTTTCTCTGTTCAGAAAGACTGAAAAATATTGCTAAGAAACCACACTAATAGTAAATATTAGAACTGGGATTTCAATGCAAGGTTTCTAGTCCAGTGATCTCTTCACTGTGCCATACAAAGTGAAATACATTTTCTGAAAAAGCTCCATATAAAATACAGTGGGAGTGCAGATGAGAGAATTAAAACAATTTTATGAGCATCATTCAATTTAATCCTCACAATAATACTGTGAGGTAGGCAGATAAGGGACTGGTATCTTCATTTTGCAAATGAAGCAGAGAAGGCTCCAAGATAGCCCCTGACTTGCTCAAGGTCACACACTGTTTTGTGGCAGAACAAAGGCTGAACTAGGTGTTCCAACTTGCAGCAATATATGCTTCACATTGCTTTATGCTGCCTCAGAAAACCTCTGCTCACTGTTCAGGATTAGAAACCAGCTTTTTCTGACTGACATGGAGGATTCCTTTTAGAATTCATGGTATATTACATTTTTGATGTGGTGTTTACATATTCTTTCCCCGCTCTTCAGAGTTGAGGACTCTGCAGCTGATGGAGCTTGTTATCCATGAGGGAACATATTGTGATGGAAAAAGAACAAGACTCAGAATCCTAAGCATGACATTCTGGCCCTGGCTTAAAGCTTGGCAAAGTTAGCCTTCTTCTTAGAGCCCCACTCTGCTTCTCTGTAAAATATAAAATCATGGCCCTGTACCTCAAAGTGTTTTTAATTCATTGAATGAGAGAATAATGATTTTATTTCTCCAGTGGACTTAATGCATATTGAAAAATGAAACATGCCATCCACAAATGTCATATATAAATGAGCAAATATTGAATGTGAGTTGACTATATGTCCATGTCCAGCAGTGTATTGAAAATAGAAGAGAACCCAGCAGATTCTCTGGAAGGAGTTAATCTTGAAAGGTTCGTCTTACTGATGAATGTATAACCACACACTTAGTTAAGAGCTTTAGTGGAAAGGAACATGCTTCTGTGAGAGCATTTATGAAATGTGTGCATGATGTCTATGTCATAATCAGACTTGCAGTTTCAAAAGATGACTATGACTAGAAAGTGGAAACTAGAGCAGAGGTCAGCCAGGTGGGTGCCAGAGTCATTCAGCAGGCTATTGCAGAAGTCCAAACAAAAGATGGTAGCTTGGTCTAAGGGTATGTCAGTGGAGATGGAGCAGCAGAGAGAACTTTGTAGATATTTAGGGGGCAAAACTGACAGGACTGAATAATGCATTGCACATGAATGGTGAGGGAGTAGGGGTTGTCAAGGACAGTCACTTGGTTTCTGGTATATTCCAGTGTAGAGATCATTGTGCAATTTGCTGAGATTAGGATGCTGGAAAGGTCCATATTTGAAATGAAGATCATAAATTCAGTTTCAGACAAGTTGTGCTTGACATACCTTTACGACCTTCAAATGGGAATGTCCCCAAGGGCCGTGGAAATAGGAATCTGGAGCTCAAAGGAGAGGATTGGGACAGAGATATGTATCAGGAATGTGTCAGCATGTGGATGCTCGCTACAGCTAGAGAAGGTTAAGATGGCCCATCCCAAGAAAACAGAATGATAAAAGAATCCAGAACTCAGTCACATTTATCATGTGGATAGACGCTGAAACTAAACAAAATAAGAATTTGAAATCAAAATCTGTTTCACCCCAACTCCCAAGATATAGCTCATTATTTGCAGTTACAGTAGCCATTTGTTACGTAACTAGTCTCAAGTGTGTATTAGATGTTGAAGCAGAGATTACAGGAAAGCACATTTTTAAAAAGCTCATTCCTAGATTTATCCTTTTTAACAATTCAATAAAAAACAATTTTTAACCAAAACTTAGTGGAAATACCTCTAACCAAGAGAGGTAAACAAAAAAGAGACATTTCCAGTCTTCATTATGCTTTTATCTGGCAGTGAAACATCTTGAAACCTTTCTCTCTAAGATAGCATTGATTTCCAAACCTATGGTTTTAGGGTAATAAGGAATGTGACATTTGGGTGGTTATCACTCTGCTATCACTTTGAGTCCTATTTCATTAAACACCATGTTTCAGTTTTGAAATCTTTTAATTGTTATAACATTCTGGCATTCACTAAAGAAATAATGAATGAAAGTAGAAGAGATAAAAAGGAGATGCTAAAAATCTTTCCACTAAGAATAACGTAACTCCTTCTCTACAAAGGAAGGTTAATGTAACTCTTCCTCCCTGAAGCAACTAATTAGGTGTTTGACCCCTCAAGGCAGCATTTGTTGCTCAACTCACAAGTTGTAACTAAATGTTAACACTCTGAGGCACTTAGGCAAGATGATATGTATTTACTAAAAATGCATGTTAGAGACTTGCTACAAATAATCCACTAAGAAGCAGAATCATGTTTAATCTCTAAACTCTACTTCTGAAATGTAAAAATAGAAGTGCTGAATTCAGCTAACACAAACACTTGTAGATACAGGAGATTTTCTATTTTTTATTCCTAATGAAGAGTATTAGAGTAGTGAGGTTTCTTTAAGTAGATCCCACTCTCCATTACGGATAATGAAATCAAGACCCAGGAAGGTGAAGTGACATGCCAAAGATGACCGAAATAAATGGGGATGGAACAAGGAATAGAATCCAATTTTCTAGGCATTTCTAAGGTCACATTATGTGGAGATTTTATGTAATTATTCTCTTTTAATTTCACATTTATTTATGCATTTATTTAAAAAATTATGAGCCCCAGCAATGTAGCCATTTTTTTATGCTCAGTGAATCTATATGCTAAGTGTGAATAAAATATAAATGGAATATGGCTTCTCTTTTTAAATAATTTACAGTGAAGTCAAAGAAACATGCATGTCCATTAATACAAAGTGATACATAATACACTAGATGTATAAACAGAAAGCAATGAAAACACAAAAGAGAGCATTTAATGGTACTGGGTTTGAAGACATGAGGGTACGAAGTTTCAGCTAAACATTTCCTTTGAATTGGATTCCAATTGGGTTTCATTTGAAACAAGCTTTTGCCAAACAGAGTCAGAAGTGTGAGTCAGGAGAAGGTAACTCCAGGCTCATCATCACTGGTCATTGAGAAATGCAAATCAAATCAAAACCAAAATAAGATACCATCTCATGCCAGTTAGAATGGCGATTATTAAAAAGTCAGGAAACAACAGATATTGGAGAGGATATGGAGAAATAAGAATACTTTTACACTGTTGGTGGGAGTGTAAATTAGTTCAGCCATTGTGGAAGACGGTGTAGCGATTCCTCAAGGATCTACAACCAGAAATACCATTTGACCCAGCAATCCCATTACTGGGTATATACCCAAAGGATTATAAATCATTCTACTATAAAGACACATGCACACGTGTGTTTATTGCGGCACTGTTCACAATAGCAAAGACTTGGAACCAACCCAAATGCCCATCAGTGATAGACTGGAAAAAGAAAATGTGGCACATATACACCATGGAAAACCATGCAGCCATAAAAAAGGGATGAGTTCATGTCCTTTGCAGGGACATGGATGAAGCTGGAAACCATCATTCTCAGCAAACTAATACAAGAACAGAAGACCAAACACCACATGTTCTTACTTACAACTGGGAGTTGAACAATGAGAGCACATGGACACAGGGAGGGGAACATCACACACTGGGGTCTGTCTGGGGGCGGGCGGGGGGGCTAGGGGAGGGATAGTATTAGGAGAAATACCTAATGTAGATGACAGGTTGATGGGTGCAGCAAACCACCATGGCACATGTATACCTATGTAACAAACCTACACGTTCTGCACATGTATCCCAGAACTTAAAGTGTAATAAAAAGAAATGAAAGGAAAAGGAAAAGCAAAATAAGAAAAGACAGAGAAGCTGACATGAACATAGGGGTCCTGGGGCAGGACGGCTCATTGCAGATGACTGTGCAAAGCTTTGGGCCACATCGTGAAGGTCTTTGAACCTTGTTCCATGGAGGTGAGATCTCATTAATCTAGAATGGCAGCTAGCACAAGGTTGTGGGCATGGAGTTGACAGGTTATGTGTGTTAAAAGGGTATCTTTGTCAATAGATGATAGCAAAAATTGAGAAGACTAATGGCAAAATGCTAGAAAAAGCTATTATTATAATGCAATACATTTAAGTACCAACTAAATCAGGGACCAGTTCTAGGCACAGGAGAATATACTCTACCAGAATTAGATCTCAATGTAAATTGCACAATGGTGCATCGCATGTTGCCATGCTTGACTTCATGCTTCAAAAGATGTCAGTGCTTAAGAGTTACAGGGACTGATCTCAGTAAAGCAGGAACATTATGGTTAGTGGGTCAAACTGCATGCTTTTAGAGTAGAAACATTTATTTTCCAAGACACTTTAATCAAGTAACTCAAAGTTCTTAAAACTAGCATTCACAAAAAATTAACGCTTCTTATTAACTAACTCTTCTTATAGCCTCCTTGTAAAAGTCCAAGTGGACAAGTTGTCTACAGACTTTTTAGCATGAGGAATCAGACTTCGTATATTTGATGCTCTATGTGAATTTTCATTGAGTAAATTTGCTGTGAATGGATTCAGGCAGGCACAAGTGGCTTGATTCCTTTACTTCAATCGACTTATCCTGAATTTGGCTTAACTCCACCACACTGCCAACTTAGAGTTAGGGGGAAAGGAATGAAGTGGAGAAGATTTGTCTGACAATCCATCTGGTGTTACAGATCATGACTCTGAGTTCTGCATATTTGAAGGGTAATTATGTCTTCAGATTCACAGGAGAGAACATCACTGAGAGGGAGGAGGCTTGGGGTCCCTGCCGCTTCCACAGGAGTTGTTAACGCAGTGAGAGGCCGAACAATACAAGTTTACCCAAAAATTGGGTAAACTTCTCATTATTCACTGTTCTCTTTTCTTCAGAACCCAGTGTGCTTATCTGCCCATTTACAGAGGGGTATGGACTACAGTGAGCAGAGAGGAAATCCTTAATTACTGCTTCATGGAAAATTTACTTTAGGTGGCTAGTGTTGGCCTATAGTGGAACCAGAGAAATCCCACATAATAAACTGCCCTTCCAAACTCAGATGTTACTTAGTTGTTGGGAAATGGTTTGCTATATTTTGTTTACAGCTATTAAAGCCTGGAAAGGGTGATTAAAAACTCGTGGGAATCCTTGGGGCTAGAACTGAACAAATCTGTGAAGGATAACATGGCAGGAAATACCATTTTCTCAATATGCTTTTGTATAATGTTAGCAATTAGATGTCACCCCATTAAAACACAGGGAAGCCACGCAGCAGTTTGGCAGCAGACACTCATCCACCAGTGGGGACATCAGATACCATAAGACTATCAAGCTGTACTGTGGAACTCAGGGAACTCCTATTTCTTCTCAGTGTCCCTCAGAGAGCAGTTTCCAGCCCTTTAAAAATGAATATTTTCATTATTGGAACTTGTTCAATGTGTGTAGTTATGCTCACTCTTTTTGTTTTGATTTATCTTTGCAAAGAAAATTAATATGATAGAAAATATCAATAAAGATTTTTTTTGGAGTGGGGGCAAGCCCCAATGTCAGGGAAACCTATCTATGTAGCTTTTTTCTATGTGATTATATCTCTCATTAAGTTATGTCCTCAGATTCCTGGTTTTAAATACTTTGTGGAAAAGTCCCCTTCTTGGACGCAATAGATTTATTTCTTATGAAGTTGTGGTGGTATTTTGTTATTATAAAATAATAGCAGTGACTGCCATTATGGCAGAATCCATATTAAGTATCAGGTGCCATGTATTTTTCTTTAGATATTTTACCTACAGCATTTCATTTAATTCTTTCAGACATTGTGATACAAAATTTTTATAGCACATATGTTGTACTTGAGAAATCTGGGGCTCAGAAAGTTTAATGTGAAGGCCAGAAACAGCCCCCCTGACTTACCTCAGTCCTGAACTACTTACTCCACAGTCTACATAGGCTTTTGAGGTTTGTTTTTTGTTGTTGTTGTTTGTTTGTTTATTTAAAACAAGGTCTTACTCTGTCACCCAAGCTGGAGTGTAATGGCATGATCTCAGCTCATGGCAACTTCTGCCTCCAGGCTCAAGTGATTCTCGTGCCTCAGCCACTAGAGTAGCTAGAATTACAGGCTCATGCCACCATGCCCGGCTAATTTTTGTATTTTTACTAGAGAGAGGGTTTCACCAGATTGGCCAGGCTGGTCTCGAACTCCTGACCTCAAGTGATCTGCCTGCCTCGGCCTCCCAAAGTGCTGGGATTACAGGTGTGAGCCACTGTGCCTGGCCTACATAGTGTTTAGATGCAAACTCCCTTTGATATGATAAGCAGATTTCTGGAAAGTGGCACATAAAATTGAAATGGTTAGATTAAACCATGGTTTAAAACCACTACGAGCCCACATTGTGGAAACCAGTGATCAACCCAGGGCAGAACCAGCAGGTGATCAGAGGTTGAACCATAGAGTTGTCTTGGAGGTGTATTTACATAGCAAGCACAATGCATTTGCCTGGGTTCTATTTTACAGATCAAAATCATGGAAACATTTTCAAAAGATGCTTTATTTATACTTTATGTAAGACTGAGAAAGTATGAATTGTCCATATCAATGAATATGTTTATACATAAATTTTTTATGAATTATTAATTTTGGATAATTTTTGGAGGCTAATGAAGATTATTAAATCTTCCCCATTATGAAATCCAACATCCTCTTGTATATGTAAGTGATATTTTCATTTCATGATCTTGGACATTTTTACCTGGACATGTCCAGATTTTCTTGCGTCCCTTTCCTTTAAAGTATACCTGTTCAGCAAAAGACATAAACAGATACTTCTCAAAAGAACACATACAAACAGCAAACATATGAAAAAACTGCTCAACATCACTAATCGTCAGAAATGCAAATCAAAACCAAAATGAAATACCATTCCACATCAGTCAGAATGGCTATTACTAAAAAAAAAAAAATAATAAACAATAGATGCTGGTGAGGCTGCAGAGAAAAGGGAATGCTTATACATTGTTGGCAGAAATGTAAATTTATTATTTTAGGCACTATGGAAAGCAATTAGGAGATTCCTGAAAGAACTTAAAACAGATCCACAATTTAGCCCAGCAATCCTATTAACTGGTATATATCCAAAATAAATTAAATAATTCTAACAAAAACATCCATGCACTCATATATTCTGGATAAAGAAAATATGGTGCATATACACCATGGAATACTATGCAGCCTTAACAAGGAATGAAATCACTCCCTTTGCAGCAACACGGATGTAGTTGGAGGCCATAATCCTAAATAAATTAATGCAGGAACAGAAAACCAAATACTACATGTTCTCACTTATAAGTAAGAGCTTAACACTGAGTACTCAGGGACATATAGATGGCAACAGTAGACATGGGACTGTCACATAGGAGGAAGGCAGGAGGGCAAGGGTTGAAAAACTGTTGCGTACTATACTTACTACCTGGTCATGACAAGATCAATCATACCTCAAACCACAGCATCACACAATATACCCGTGTAACACATTTTCACATGTACCCCAGAATCTAAAATAATGAAATTATTTAAAAAATAAAATACAGAATAATACCTGTTCAAAGGGTTATGGCCAGCGTGACTTGGAACACAGTTATTTCATCCAGTTTATTTAGTATTTGTAAGAATAAAGTCAATTATGAAAGCTGTCCTTCCTTATACATACCCAAGGTGTTTGATAGGCAAATATGGCCTTTGATAACAATGTTGCTTGAAGGTCTAGAAAAGATGCTTTGAAATGATTCACAGCAGATGATAGACAAATTGATCCTCTCAGCAGTCTCTGAGTGCTCATTGTCCCCTTTTTCCCTATAGGACCTCATGTCTTTTACCCAAAGTTCCCATGATCCAAAGAAGTTCCTTATTTTTCCACTATTGTTGAATGATATCAATACTAGATTTAGAGGAGGAAGTTCCAGATTTCATTCTTAAGTGTGATACCCACTAACTGTGAAGCCTTTGAATAAATCATGTTGCTTTTCTAAATCTCACTTTCTATATGTAAAATAATGATAACAAAACCACCCTATCTATATCAGTAAGGTACCTGAGGCACTGGGTATAAAAATTCTTCTGCTAAAACAAAAATAAGCAAAAATCCCCATCTCCATGTGCTCAATCTCTTTGAGCTATATACAACAAGGCATACAATTCTATTATGAGGGTTTGCTTTTAAAAAGCAATTTGCTGACCTAAATGATCTTAGTTTGGTAGAATATAGCAGTGTGGTATGTGGCAAATGGGAGCATTGTTCCATATTTCTTAGCCTTACCTACTTTAGATTACTATTGAATCTCATCCAGACCCCTACTCTCCTAGAAGTCGGAATTCAGCCTTCCAGAAACTTCATACTGCACTTCTAAAAGAATGCCTAAACCTCAGGCTATATCCAGATTCATACAGGGTGCTTTTTCTCTATTGTGGTAAAACATATCTTTCATTTTACAATTTTAACTATTTTTGAGTGTACAGTTCTATGGTATTAGCACATGTACCTTGTTGTGCTACCATCACCACCATCTGTCCACAGAATTTTTCATTGTCTCCAGTTAAAATTAAAAAAGGCAGGGGTTGCAATCCTACTCTCTGATAAAACAGACTTTAAACCAACAAAGATCAAAAGAGACAAAGAAGGTCATTACATAATGGTAAAGGCATCAATTCAACAAGAAGAGCTAACTATCCTAAATATATATGCACCCAATACAGGAGCACCAAGATTCATAAAGCAAGTCCTGAGTGACCTACAAACAGACTTAGACTCCCACACATTAATAATGGGAGACTTTAACACCCCACTGTCAACATTAGACAGATCAACGAGACAGAAAGTCAACAAGGATACCCAGGAATTGAACTCAGCTCTGCACCAAGCAGACCTAATAGACATCTACAGAACTCTCCACCCCAAATCAACAGAATATACATTTTTTTCAGCACCACACCACACCTATTCCAAAATTGACCACATACTTGGAAGTAAAGCTCTCCTCAGCAAATGTAAAAGAACAGAAATTATAACAAACTATCTCTCAGACCACAGTGCAATCAAACTAGAACTCAGGATTAAGAATCTCACTCAAAACCGCTCAACTACATGGAAACTGAACAACCTGCTCCTGAATGACTACTGGGTACATAACGAAATGAAGGCAGAAATAAAGATGTTCTTTGAAACCAACGAGAACAAGGACACAACATACCAGAATCTCTGGGACGCATTCAAAGCAGTGTGTAGAGGGAAATTTACAGCACTAAATGCCCACAAGAGAAAGCAGGAAAGATCCAAAATTGACACCCTAACATCACAATTAAAAGAACTAGAAAAGCAAGAGCAAACACATTCAAAAGCTAGCAGAAGGCAAGAAATAACTAAAATCAGAGCAGAATTGAAGGAAATAGAGACACAAAAAACCCTTCAAAAAATTAATCCAGGAGCTGGTTTTTTGAAAGGATCAACCAAACTGATAGACCGCTAGCAAGACTAATAAAGAAAAAAAGAGAGAAGAATCAAATAGACACAATAAAAAATGATAAAGGGGATATCACCACCGATCCCACAGAAATACAAACTACCATCAGAGAATACTACAAACACCTCTACACAAATAAACTAGAAAATCTAGAAGAAATGGATAAATTCCTTGACACATACACTCTCCCAAGACTAAACCAGGAAGAAGTTGAATCTCTGAATAGACCAATAACAGGATCTGAAATTGTGGCAATAATCAATAGCTTACCAACCAAAAAGAGTCCAGGACCAGATGGATTCACAGCCGAATTCTACCAGAGGTACAAGGAGGAACTAGTACCATTCCTTCTGAAACTATTCCAATCAATAGAAAAAGAGGGAATCCTCCCTAACTCTTTTTACGAGGCCAGCATCATTCTGATACCAAAGCCAGGCAGAGACACAACAAAAAAAGAGAATTTTAGACCAATATCCTTGATGAACATTGATGCAAAAATCCTCAGTAAAATACTGGCAAAACGAATCCATCAGCACATCAAAAAGCTTATTCACCATGATCAAGTGGGCTTCATCCCTGGGATGCAAGGCTGGTTCAATATACGCAAATCAATAAATGTAATCCAGCATATAAACAGAGCCAAAGACAAAAACCACATGATTATCTCAATAGATGCAGAAAAAGCCTTTGACAAAATTCAAGAACCCTTCATGCTAAAAACTCTCAATAAATTAGGTATTGATGGGACATATTTCCAAATAATAAGAGCTATCTATGACAAACCCACAGCCAATATCATACTGAATGGGCAAAAACTGGAAACATTCCCTTTGAAAACTGGCACAAGACAGGGATGCCCTCTCTCACCACTCCTATTCAACATAGTGTTGGAAGTTCTGGCCAGGGCAATTAGGCAGGAGAAGGAAATAAAAGGTATTCAGTTAGGAAAAGAGGAAGTCAAATTGTCCCTGTTTGCAGACGACATGATTGTATATCTAGAAAACCCCATCGTCTCAACCCAAAATCTCCTTAAGCTGATAAGCAACTTCAGCAAAGTCTCAGCATACAAAATCAATGTACAAAAATCACAAGCATTCTTATACACCAACAACAGACAAACAGAGAGCCAAATCATGAGTGAACTCCCATTCACAATTGCTTCAAAGAGAATAAAATACCTAGGAATCCAACTTACAAGGGATGTGAAGGACCTCTTCAAGGAGAACTACAAACCACTGCTCAATGAAATCAAAGAGGATACAAACAAATGGAAGAACATTCCATGCTCATGGGTAGGAGGAATCAATATCGTGAAAATGGCCATACTGCCCAAGGTAATTTACAGATTCAATGCCATCCCCATCAAGCTACCAATGCCTTTCTTCACAGAATTGGAAAAAACTACTTTAAAGTTCATATGGAACCAAAAAAGAGCCTGCATTGCCAAGTGAATCCTAAGCCAAAAGAACAAAGCTGGAGGTATCACACTACCTGACTTCAAACTATACCACAAGGCTACAGTAACCAAAACAGCATGGTACTGGTACCAAAACAGAGATATAGATCAATGGAACAGAACAGAGCCCTCAGAAATAACGTCGCATATCTACAACTATCTGATCTTTGACAAACCTGAGAAAAACAAGCAATGGGGAAAGGATTCCCTATTTAATAAATGGTGCTGGGAAAACTGGCTAGCCATATGTAGAAAGCTGAAACTGGATCCCTTCCTTACACCTTATACAAAAATCAATTCAAGATGGATTAAAGACTTAAATGTTAGACCTAAAACCATAAAAACCCTAGAAGAAAACCTAGGCATTACCATTCAGGACATAGGCATGGGCAAGGACTTCATGTCTAAAACACCAAAAGCAATGGCAACAAAAGCCAAAATTGACAAATGGGATCTAATTAAACTAAAGAGCTTCTGCACAGCAAAAGAAACTACCATCAGAGTGAACAGGCAACCTACAAAATGGGAGAAAATTTTCACAACCTACTCATCTGACAAAGGGCTAATATCCAGTATCTACAATGAACTCAAACAAATTTACAAGAAAAAAACAAACAACCCCATCAAAAAGTGGGCAAAGGACATGAACAGACACTTCTCAAAAGAAGACATTTATGCAGCCAAAAAACACATGAAAAAATGCTCATCATCACTGGTCATCAGGGAAATGCAAATCAAAACCACAATGAGATACCATCTCACACCAGTTAGAATGGCAATCACTAAAAAGTCAGGAAACAACAGGTGCTGGAGAGGATGTGGAGAAATAGGAACACTTTTACACTGTTGCTGGGACTGTAAACTAGTTCAACCATTGTGGAAGTCAGTGTGGCGATTCCTCAGGGATCTAGAACTGGAAATACCATTTGACCCAGCCATCCCATTACTGGGTATATACCCAAAGGACTATAAATCATTCTGCTATAAAGACACATGCACACGTATGTTTATTGCGGCATTATTCACAATAGCAAAGACTTGGAACCAACCCAAATGTCCAACAATGATAGACTGGATTAAGAAAATGTGGCACATATACACCATGGAATACTATGCGGCCATAAAAAATGATGAGTTCATGTCCTTTGTAGGGACATGGATGAAATTGGCAATCATCATTCTCAGTAAACTATCGCAAGAACAAAAAACCAAACACCGCATATTCTCACTCATAGGTGGGAATTGAACAATGAGATCACATGGACACAGGAAGGGGAATATCACACTCTGGGGACTGTTGTGGGGTGGGGGGAGCGGGGGAGGGATAGCACTGGGAGATATACCTAATGCTAGATGACGAGTTAGTGGGTGCAGTGCACCAGCATGGCACATGTATACATATGTAACTAACCTGCACAATGTGCACATGTACCCTAAAACTTAAAGTATAATAAAAAAAAAGAAAAAAATTATTTACTTATTAAACACTAACGTCCCATTCTCCCATCACTTAGCTCCTGGCAGCCACTCAGGGTGCATATTTTAAATACTAGCAGTGCTAGTTAAAATGATGGTAACCCGTATAACAAATAAGCCCTAAAATATATAATGGCTCAGAACTATTTCTGACTCTATAAGGTATGGAAGGGATGTTACTGATTGTCAGTTCTTTTCCCAGCTCTTCTCTAGAATTATTACAAATGTTGATTGTTCCATCATCACCCATATGGCTTCTAAGGTCATCATGCTTCCCTACCTCAAGACAACAGGTGGAAGAAGAGAACATGGTGAATTACCCATGTGCAGTTTATTTTAGGCCAGGCCTGGAATCAGCACACATCACATCACATACACTCAACCTCTTGATGAGACTCAGTCACAAGGCCTCAACTAGACTTCAGGGAAGCCGGAAAATACGGTCTAGTACATGAAGCAGAAATTTCGGGTTTGAGGATAAGCGAGCCAGTCTCTGCCATCAGTCATATTAAGAGTGTAGATATGCCCAGGAATCATCATCATTCATGCACTTAGAACTTTTACTTTTTGAAAATCTAATTTTCCCTGGCAGAAAAAGATATTTTATTTTAAATATGTCCAAAACCAAAACATATCTGAATGGCAAAATTAAAGTGTACGTATAATTCCACTGAGAAGCAAGAGATATTATCTAGATATAGAAACCTTGAGAAACAATTGAGAATCTTAGAGGAAGTGCCTTCTTCACTCAGTTCAATCAGCTATATGTTAAGTTCCAATGAGGATATCTAGAATGTTCAGAAGGTGTAGAATTATGTGTGTCCTTAAAGAATATTTCAATAGTTACCATTTCTAAAATGTCAGCATCCATATCCAAACGGTTTGTCATCTCTTAATACGCACTATAAATGCAACCATGATCAGTAGATTAATTCATTAGTTTGCAACACTGAGGAAGTTTTTAGTTTATAAATGTATTGATATTGAACACATAGAGATGTGGCTTGAAGAGCAAGACAAACAGGCATATGTTACAGTTTCTCTTCACGCAGGAAGGAATCTACTTCCTTTCACTAATTGCACTTAAAGTAACCACAGGGACTCAGGCTCCATACATAGAACACTAAGCATCTGCGTTTTCCTTTCATACAATGAGAGAAAATGCATAAATGCATTTGTTGGCAATACTGACAAAGACCGATTTGTGGAATAATTGAAACCTTGATTTCTGTCATTAGCCGGATGTTTACAAAACTCGTCTTCCTGTCTACATTCCAGATGTTTCTCCTTATTTTAATAGCTCCTTGTTTTTCATGGGTTTTGAATTCCAAATTGTAAAGTGTCGAGGAAAAAGACTTTCGTTTGCAAGTTTCATGGAAAATGACATAATCTTAAACTCCCCAGAATCCTTGCAACATTTATTTGTAGGTCCTTCCAATTAGTTTATTTTCTATAGAAAGTCTGAGGTCTTGAATTATGTCCCAGAGTCAACATTAGATGAGTGAGCAACCTTTTGGTTCACCTCACTACTCTTGCACATCAAATACAGATTTTGGCTGAAGGTATTCTTTTTGGAATAATCTTTCTCTGCAACTTTGATTTCTCAGGGAACGAGCATTGAATACAACACAGCCTGGGTCCCTTCAGCTCACTGTGGGAAACCTGAAGCCAGAAGCCATGTACACCTTTCGAGTTGTGGCTTACAATGAATGGGGACCGGGAGAGAGTTCTCAACCCATCAAGGTGGCCACACAGCCTGAGTGTGAGTATGAAAAGGAACGGGCCACATTTAAAAAGTATTTATTTTCCTCTGCAATATCCTTGAATTCTTTCACAGAACCTTTGCGAAGTGACAAAAGCGAAGAAGAGTTTTTTTTCTTCTAAGTAAACTTATATAACTCGAGGACTTTTAAAAGATAACTTGTAAATAGAATGGCCTCTTCACTTAGGCCACATACCGTAATGGCAAATTAACCTCTATAAAGGCCTAATCTATCTATGCAGTCTACTTATTCATTTCCTAAGAAAGTGATTTACTCTTCCTGACAGTATTTTATCCTCATCATTGAGTTTCAGCCTCCTCTGTTGAATTTTCAGATTTTTTGAGTTTGTAAAGAGTGTAACATCAAAGGTAAAAGAACAATAACATACAATTTCTAAATCCAGGGACTAATTTAAAAGCTTGAACACGCACCGCATGCACTGAAAAACCTACTAAAAGCAAATTGAGATTTGAGGAATATGAGAGATAACCTCTATTGGATAATCTCACTCCCTCTACCTTGAATCACTAGATTCAGCTATGTTTTTTTTTCACAAAGTAGAGCAGCTGAATGTTCTTTGACCAATGTATAATTCAATGATTTCAACTTTGATAAAGGAAGAGCTCCAGAATTACATATCGAAAACTATTTCTGTACTTGACAAAATTTTGTTTTTTCTTGTGCATTTCTAATGTTTTTTGAAAAGATTAGTTGCTGATGAGTCATTCGCCAAATTTGTTTTGTTTCGCATTAAAAAACGATTGGAATTTAAAATCAAAATGAAATGCATGGCTACTTGTTAACAAGCTGCCTTATGTTAAACACCTAACTGTACCTGTTTCCTTTTTATATAACAAAATTTGTAATGATATTTTGATTTCCTGTTCATTTTACGTGAAACTGTAAAGAGGTATATCAAAATCACCTCTTGTATTTTGGGAATAAGGTGAAGTAGAGATTGGAAATATTTTAACTGGTAATTGTGAGAGAGTAACCTTTGTATTCTATCACTTCTTGGGTGGTTTAAATCAGCAAGTCGAAGAAGAGAGAGCAGGAGATACAGTCTGAGTGCACTTTCCACAGAATCTCCATCCTTTCTTTCATTTGGCCAGGGCTACAGAGACAAGATGATAACAAATTGGAATAAAGTATTAATTGAAGGGACGGAAGAGGGCTAAGTTGTGCAAGTACTACAAATATTTGCCTCACAGAAATAAAAACCTCAACAACTTCAAAAGCATAGTCATGTTGAGGTTCCAGACAATTATTTGGAAATGCAGGCCCCCAGGCATAATAATAATTTGTAGGACCCAAATAATTTCTGTTTGCAAAATAAAAACACAGGGGCACATTGTTAAAAATTATTAAGATTATGGGATGGCTACAGCAGAACGTGAGTCCTTGCACAACTTCACCCTTTGCTGCCTATGAGCTGGTCCTGCTCCCAGGTTTCTGTTCTGGGCAATGTTTTGTTGCTGTACTGATTTAAATCACTAAACAATGCCAATTTCCTCTTCATAATGTCTATATTAACATAACATTTCAATCTTCTTTTTTTATTTTTGGGACGGAGTCTCACTCTCTTGCCCAGACTGGAGTGCAGTGGCACAATCGCGGCTCATTGCAACCTCCGCCTCCAAGGTTCAAGCGATTCCCAGCTAATTTTTGTATTTTTAGTAGAGACGAGCTTTCACCATTTTGGCCAGGCTGGTCTCGAACTCCTGACCTCAAGTGATCCCCCTGCCTCGGCCTCCCAATGTGCTAGGATTACAGGCAGGAGCCATCGCGCCCAGCCCAACATTTGAGTCTCAATTGCTTTATTGACTTTCTCTTCATAGATCATCTATGTAAAATCAATAACTTTTATGACTATTTTATATTTTTGATTAAAAGCAAATTAGGTTTTACATATATATAATACACACACACTATATATGGTATATCTCATGTGATAGATAGGTCAACAATTTAAAAACTCTTGAAAAATTCCTTAAAGAAATCCTTGATAAATTTTCCAGTATTGGAACTAGCTTTAAAAGCATGCTCATTTTCAAAAGATCAAATCTCCATGGATTATCTGAATTTTTCATCTCCTAGTTCTAAAATTATCGTAAAATTGTTATACTGTACTTTTCAGAGCTGACTAGTCATGATTACATTGCATTTCTGATAAAAATCCTGGTTGGTTAGCCTTGCTTTGTAAGAATGAGCATTTTTTTTCCCCTTGATCAATACTATTGTTTCTAAGCATTCAACTTAAGAAAGCAATTTTCAGTGTTTTAAAATTTTACTTCTTTTTTTTTTTTTTTTAACACCAACGTTCCCAAGCCAAGGGACAGTAAAGTATTTTCGTTTTTGACACTGGCTAAGAACACTCATTCCATAAAAATTAAAAAAAATAAAAACTATGATAAAATGATACAATATATTCTGCTATTTTAATATAATTAAGTTAAAAAGAATAATGATTTTTTTGTATCACACATATGGCCTTAACTTTGTAAAACACAAACAATGACATAATTCATAAGTATGTTTAATAAACATTTATTATGTTCCTAACACTGTTCCAGGCTGCATGAGGCATGTTAGAAAAGCATATGTGAGTAATAAAGCAGCAGTATTTATGGATCTCAGCAGATTTGGGGGGAAGCAGGTATTTTAAATATGTAACAATAACAAAACAACTCGAGTAGGGGAACTTATAAGAAGTTGGTAAATGGAATACAAACAATCTGAGTCACAGATTTGCTCGTGGGCCCATGACCTGTGATGGCTGCAGCATATTACCTAGTTAATTTCTTATGCCCAGATCATACTGCATCCACCTCCTCAAATCAGTCTTGTAATCCAGTTACAATGACAGCCATGTCTATGCTTTATATATCACACATTCCTTCCCATTCAGAAAGCAGTGTGAAAAATTTGTGCAGAGCACCTCACTGGACCCAAGTCTCTATAAGCATTTACTTTGCTTAACAATTAGCGTAAATGATAAGGCATAAAATAACAAAAGCCTAACTGAATAAAACATGCTGATTGTTGGTATTGTTGTCACATATAAATTCTATTCTCTAAGAAATGAAAATGAAGAATCTCTCTGCTTTAGAAACATGATGCAGCCATGAATCTTTTTCATTAATGGCAGCAATAACAGCCTTAGAATGCTAACCATATTTTGGCCTTTAGTAACAGCATTGTTCTATTAAATTACCCATTTTCTTACCAGTATATGGAATAAGGATACCTTTGCAGATCATTGTTTATTTGCACTATGATTTGATTCTGTTTCACTGAACATTGCCACTGGATAATTCCTCCCTTACTGAGTAGATAAGTAGTTAGGAATAAAGTAGCCTGCATAAACAAGACATTCAGAATATCCTTTACATGTGCAAGAGAGTTAGCCAATTGCTTCAATTCATGTATATTGAGTACTACTAAACTCACTTGCCGTCTTTCTTACGGACATTAGAATAAATAAATTATATTATCATGAGTGATAGGCATTGCATGTGTATTTTATCTTCTGTTGGTAACATAAAATGCCATTTTGGCAATTTGAAAGTATTTCTAGGATAAGGAGCACTTACTTCATCTTCTCCAAGCCTGCTCAATAAGACACCCAATTACTGAAGAAGATGGAATATACCAGAGATCCTATGGTTCCTTTCCTTTCCTTTCCCATTCCTTCCTCCCTTCCTCCTTCCCGCCATCCTTCCCTCTTTGTTATAAGCCCATCTTTCTGTCCTTAAGAGAAAATGCGAGGGCTGGTTTTATGACTTCGCTAGACTATCAGAATTTAGTGGCAAGATCAGGTTAAAGAAAACGTTTTCATCAATATTTCTTTTCTGACAAAATGATCTTATCTTTTGAAAATGGGTCTCAGCTGAGTATGCATTTGGTTGCTGCTTTTATCAATGTTTTCCAAATGTGATGTAGTAATTGTACACTAAAATTACATAGCTTGTATACAAATTGAATTTCAAGTTTTTCATATTATTTGAAAATATCAACTCTATTATACAAACCATATTTGCAAAGAATAAAACTGATGGAAAATATGTCTGAAATATAAATCAGCCAGCAACTGTTTCTAAAAGTGCATACATTTTGTAGTAATCATTTAAAGAGATCGACAGCCCAAGATCCAGTTTATGAAATAATTGCTCGAAATAGAAAGGCTTGATTTATATGAAGGTTTGTGTCCTCTGATGGTATCTTCCTTTGCTAAACCCTTGCCCATTCTCCCCTGCCTTTATGGTATGTAATTTCTCTACCATATTATCAGCCAGGATTTAAGTCCCTGTCTGCTTAAGACTTGTCTAATCTTTTCATACCACATGTGGAGATTTTTTGAATTATTATTTGCAGTCCTTTAAGATCCTGTTAAGGCGGTTTAATCATAAAGGATGTTAAAATGGACCACATACTGGCTTGAGGGCTTGAGTTAGAATGGGAAGCCTATTTGCAAGACCACAACTCAATTACCTACAAAACTCTTTTAGATTTAAGAGTTGTAAGTAATATTCTTAGTCTATTATATTCTTTACACTAAAAAGATGAGTGAAAGCAACCCACCAATTTGAGTGACTTTAGAATATATTATCTAGAGGAATAGCCATATTTGCTTCTTTCCTCCTTCATGAGATTTTAAAAATTCTAATATGGCTCTACTTGTATGGTTGTTAGGAAAAGAACAGAGAAGTTCAAATAATGTCTCTGAACATTACTACCTGTATCCTAGAGCAAGTTTGTCAATCATCGAGACCTCAGTTTCCTGAACTATAAACGGGAGTATCATTTATTCCTCTTCTTCCTAAGTTGCAAAAATGAAATATGATAACACGTGGGCAGCCACTGGGTCTTGCCTGGCATCTCATTTAAAAAAAAAAAAAAAAAAAACTCCCTGATCCAACGGGATCAAATAAGAACATAATTTCAACTGCTCTACATTTACAAACAAAGTGGGATACTCATCAGGGTAATCACTTGGGTAAATAAGGCTAATATAATACCTCATTTATAGTTTAGAACTAGCTTGATCACTATACAGTCAGCACATTTACATACTCTGCTACTTTCTCCCTAATTAACCTCTCCTTAGCATTTGGCAGGCTGTTATAGATTGCCTTGTCTAAATTTTGAAGTCTTATGAACAGAAAGTGCTACATTATCCCGTAAGATGTATCACAGCATTGCCATTTTATAAATAAAGCCATGTGTCACTTAAGGAAGGAAATACATTCCAAGAAATGCATCATTAATTGTTTCATTTTTCTGAGAACATAATAGTGTCTTACACACCTAGAAGGTAGAGCCTACTACACACCTAGGCTCTATGGTATAGTCTACTACACACCTAGGCTATATGGTATAGTCTACTATACACCTAGGCTATATGGTATAGCCTATTGCTCCTAGGCTGCAAACCTGTATAGCATGTGACGGTACTGAATACTGCAGGCAATTATAACACAGTGGTATATGTTTGTACATCTGAGCATGTCTAAACATAGAAAAGGTAATGCATTGCATTAGAATGATATGATAGCAAGATGTCACTAGGCGATAGAAATTTTTCAACTTCATTATATTCTTATGGGACCACCTTGGTATATCTGGGCTGTTGCTGATCAAAACATTGTTATGTGACACTTGGCTGTCATTGGTTGGTTGATGCTGGTAGAATATGGTTTGGGAAAGATACAAAATATCAGTTATATTTATTAAAGTATGGTTACATAAATTAAGCAAACTAAGTTGATCACAGCTCTGTCTAGCTCATTACTTTTGTCACTTGATTTACAATGATTAACTGCACTGCACTGAGATTTGAATAAATATTTGGGGTGACCACTATGGCAAACCTGTCCACTCGACAACAATTCAGTTGTCTGATCCCGTACATGGCCAGACATAAATAATGGAAAGAAGTAAAGATAAGCACTGGCATTACATCTTTTTTGGTAGCATACAAATACATTATTTTAAAAGTCTCTGGATGTAAAAAAATGTTTTCAGGTGTTATAAATAAGAGATGGGGAACGTTAAAAATTTATGGTTTAGTATCCTCTGTGACCAAAGGCTTAAGGAATTCATTTAGATTTAATGGTCAATTAGGCTAGGTATGATGTCTTTGATAATGACATATATTAGTGGAAGGATTACAGGTGGGCTTGAGATGATGGGTTGTTTAATCACCTCTAGAAGACTTCAAAGCAAATGTGAGTCACTGTGTTCTTTCTTCATTCATTTAAAAATATTTATTTTGTGCTAAGTTCTAGAACTACAGTTTCCAGTACAGTAACCACAAGCCACATTGGTCTATTTAAATTTAAAAGTATTGAAATAAAATAAAATTTAAAATTCAGTTTGTCAGTCACAATAGCCCTATTCCAACTTCTTAGTAGCACTTAAAATTTAAATAAAATTAAAAACCAAAAATTCAACTTATCTCTCTTGTGAGCCACATCTCACGAATTCATATATGATTACTGGCTACTGTATTGGAGATCACAGAGAACATTTCCATTATTTCAGAAAGTTCTCTCAGACAGTGGCAGTCTAGGCACTATGCTGGTAAACGAGGATACAAATGCAAGTCAGAAATGGTCCTAACTTTCAAGGAACTGGTAGTCTAGTGGAAACAACTTTAAATAGAATTCACTAAAAACAGCTTTCACAGATTTCATCTCCCTGAACAAAATTGTTCAGTTTTGTTCAAAACAAAAAAGTTAATTATGTGCTAAAATAATAGACATGATTTTTTAAAGGCCACAGAATCTAGACCTGAAGATATGCTGTTTATTTACTTAAGTTAGTTAATCACATTAAAAATCCATTACCTGGAAAAATACATAAGCATCTTCCGAAGTTCAACTGAAAGTGAAGGACATAGCTTACTAGTTGCTTGGGTTGAACAGTGGTATATCGTAAGTGTAATTTCCCTAAGAAGCTTCTGCTGGCTCTCTTATTTTCTCTTTTCTTTTGAGCACACAGTACGATTCAGGCTTCTTCAGTTGGTATAACCAAACATCTAGAAAATTTATCTGCTTCATGAGAAATTGCATAGAAAGAAAGCTAACTTCTCATAGATAGACATAAGGGAGTGTAGGAAAGGGGATAAGAAAGTGTCATAATAATTATTGGTTTTCAGGCAGCACGGTCAACTAGTCTAGGAGAAAGAGGTTCCCTAAGTAGATCTGATTTGGGTTTAATCGCCTAGTTTGGTTATATGCCCTACTAAACGTGAAAGCGGTTGGTTTGCTAAGCTGAATTAGAGCAAAAGCCAGCATGAACATCTTCGGGGATATTGTCGTCATGCTGGTGCAGCTGAATGAAACTCTACTCCAAGGACATGAGCTGAGCTGCTTTAGGCAACCGCTTTGATGGAGAGCTGATGAACACCACTGAGAAAGGGTAAAGATAGAAAGGAATAAGGCATTTTAATCACATGTGTATTGAAGCACTCCCTCATCTTTAGAGCATATTTTTCTATGCAGTTCATAAGTATTTACTGAGCACCAACTATGTATCCAGCCTTTTATAACATGCTTGGGATAGAAAATAAAATAAGGGCAGAAGTTTCTTTCTTTGTCTGTTTCTGCTGTTATAACAAAACACCTGACACTGTAATTTATAAAGGATAGAAATGTATTGCTCATGGTTCTGGAGACTGAGAAGTCTGAGATTAAGCAGGTGTGGTGTCTAGTGAGGGCTGGTCTCTGCTTCCAAGATGAGGCTTTGTTGCTGCATCTTCCAGAGGGTATGAACGGTGTGTCCTCACATGGTGGAAGAAGTGGTAGGACAAAAAAGAGGAGCTAGCTGTTCCCTCTAGCCCTCTTATAAGGACTAATCTCTTCATGAGGGTAGAGCCCTCATGGCCTAATCATCTTTTAAAAGATTATTATAATATTTGCATTGGGGTTTAAATTTCAACATGAAATTTTGGAGGGGACACAAACATTCAAAGAAGTGGAATCAAATTTACTTTCTCTCTTTTTTTTTTCTTTTTTTTTTTGAGATGGAATCTTGCACTCTTGCCCAGGTTGGAGTGCAGTGGTGTGATCTCAGCTCACTGCAACCTCCACGTCCTGAGTTCGTGTGATTCTCCTGCCTCAACGTCCCAAGTGGCTGGGATTACAGGCTCACACCACCACACCTGGCAAAGTTTTTGTATTTTTAGTAGAGACGGGGTTTCACTATGTTGGCCAGACTGGTCTTGAACTCCTGACCTCATTATCTGTCTGCCTCGGCCCCCCAAAGTGCTGGGATTACAGGAGTGAACCACCGTGCCTGGCTCTATTTCCTTTTTTTAACCTAAAGTTAGTGTTACAAAGTTTCATTGTGTAATTAATGCATAATCTAACGCAGATATAATTTGATGCACAAACCATATTGCCTTTTAGTATAAAATATTTTAGTATATTTTAGAAATTATCTGATCTAACACTCCACCAAAATTAAGTAAAACTCCCTTTTAAATTACTGTACTATTTTATGGATTCTTTTAACTGCAGGTTATATTCTGCCTGCTGTAATATATGGTGAATTTTACATGTTACATAAAAAGTCAATAATATGACTTTAGCTATTTTTCTTTAACTCCAATGTTCTTACATTATGTTACTTTAATTGCCCAATCTTTCCTCCTTGGGGAACCCAAGATCCCATGCAATGAGGAGTTGAGTTGGGACAGAATTTCTGATTACAGGCTATTCTGCAGGGAGCGGAGATTACCATGAGTTAAAATAGAAAGATTTTAAGCCTATGACAAGCAATTACTGCTTCTAATTGTAGCTGTTAAAGTCAAAGCTGAGATGGTGTCACTCATTTCTGGAAGGAAATGACCACAGATTTGTATCAATTGAAAGTCAAGCAATGGAACTCTAAGCCCATGGTCAGTGCTAGTAACTTGTACATTGTCCTCTTATTTAAACCTATAATTGGTGTTATAAATTATAACTCTGGGTACCCAGAGTCTGACACATTTCCCGGTGCCCTGAAACATAATTTTAAATCCATCAACACTTTAAGATAGTAGATTCCAACCATTGAAATGTGCAACCAATAAACCTGGGGACCAGAGCTTTTAAGGCTAGCCATAGAATACGTCAGTGCATTAGTGAGAGCCCAAGGCCTATGTCTAGATTCCTAAGTACAGGCATGCTTATCCTAAACAATGGGCTTACAATAATGGCAGTTTCTCTTCCTGAAATGGAAATATCACTTTAAAAAATAAGCAAAAGATCTGTGTTCTAGACTGAGATTTATCTGTATTCTGCTGTTTGTTTTTGGGGAAGTCAGTTACCTGGTCTGATTCTCAAATTTTTATAAAATAAGGATCATACTGCTTGTTTTGGGATAATATGAAGGGGCACTAGAAAAGCCTCATTAAGGAACACTGCTAACTGATCTTACACAATTTACCTCAATTTCATTGATTTTTCAAATGTCTCCCTTAGAAATAAGTAAGTGAACTTGTTAACCCATTTGGGTGTTGCATTATTTATCTAGGGCTACCTTAACAAAGTGCCACAAACTTGGTGTCTCCAAACAACAAAATGTATTTTCTGACCTTTCTGGAGCCTAGAAGTCCGAAATCGAGGTGTCAGTAGGGCTATATTTCCTCTGAAAATGCTTCAGAAAAATCCTTCCTTGCCTCTTCCTAGCTTCTGGTGGCTTCTGGCAATCCTTGGCATTCCTTGGCTGGTAGCTGCATAATTTCAGTCTCTGCCTGCATCTCCACATGGCCTTCTCCTCTCTGTGTCTCTGTGAGTCCTCTTCTCTTCTTATAATATACTTGGAATGCACCAAAATCCAGTATAACCTTGTCTTAACTAATTATATCTGCAAAGATATGTCATCAAATAAGGTCACATTCTGAGGTTCTGGGTGTACATGAATTTTTGGAGTACTATTCAACCCGATATACTGCCCTGTGAATCTTAGTAAGAATTCTTACAGATTCTTAGTACGATTCAATGTCATCTGTTGGAGGACTGAGCAAACTATGAAGTATATATTATGTTTGTATGTATTTATGTGCATGTATATATATGTGTGTGTGTATATATGTGTATATGTGTAGATATGTGTATATGTATATATGTGTGTGTATATATATTCAGGTCATAGCTGTTAAAATCAGAGTCCAGATATTGGCATTAGTGTCTGGAAGAAAAACATTTTAGGGATTTTATCAATTGAAGGTCAAACAGTAGAAATCCAAACCTGTGGTCAATGTTAGTAAGTTTTCACAGGCAGCTTAAAACATAGCAATGCCAACACAATTTTATATATATATAAACTTTTCCATATATAGTGTATATATATATAATTGTATATGTACATATAGCATATATGTATACATATAGAAAATTAAAGTGTATGTCTATACAGGTATATACATACATTAATTAGCAAGCTATATTTTTCATTTTAAAAACCATTTCAGTCACTGCCTCTCAAGCAAAGTAGAAATGTTGGTATTAACAGACATCCCTAGTGTCCTTAAAATCATATTTGCTATGCTCTTACCTTCTTCATCTCTTCAGAATTCTAACCCTGCCTTGTAAGTTGTAGGACATAGCACTTTCTGAATATTAAGGACTGCAAACTGCTTAGGTGGCCTGAAGGAAACTAATAAGTGAATGAAGTTAGCCAAATAACAGATTTTGCTGAAGGTGCCTGTGAGATCTGTTACAGACATTGACCACATGCTTGGATTTCTACTGTTTGACCTTCAGTTGATAAAAACCCCTGGTTTTCTTCCAGACACTGATGCCAACAACAGGACTCTGATTTTTATTTTATTTTATTTTGAGACGGAGTTTCACTCTTGTTGACCAGGCTGGAGTGCAATGGCACGATCCTGGCTTACTGTAACCTCCACCTCCCAGGTTCAAGTGATTCTCCTGCCTCAGCCTCCCGAGTAGCTGGGATTACAGGCATGCGCCACCACGCCCGGCTAATTTTGTATATTTAGCAGACACCAGGTTTCTCCATGTTGGTCAGGCAGGTCTTGAACTCCCGTCCTCAGGTGATCCACCCACCTCAGCCTCTCAAAGTGCTGGGATTACAGGCATGAGCCGACATGTCTGGCCAGGACTCTGATTTTTAACACCTGTGGCCTGAAACAGTAATTGTGTGCCATCACCTTAAAATCTTTCAACTTCAGAAGAATAGCAATACTTTGACCTGTAAAATATCCTGTAAGCAAGAATTCTGGCCCAACCCAACTCCTACATTAGATATGACAAAATTAAATGCAAAAAAACTAATAGTGTCAGAGCCAGAGTTTGAACCTAGCATAATATTCCTACTACACTGCTAACTCTGTGTGTGTGTGTGTGTGTGTGTGTGTGTGTGTGTGTGTGTGTGTACACAAACTAAGATTAGCCATGATCGTTTCAGGAAAAATGATCAAACATTAATTACCTTTTGATAACAGTTCTTTAATGAGTTAAAATTCTTATTAATTCACCATTGATAAAAATTAGTTCAGAAAACATAGCAGTGACAACATAATATTTTTAAAATCTCAGCAGGGCGTAGTGGTTCACGCCTGTAATCCCAGCACTTTGGGAGGCTGAGGCGGGTGGATCACGAGGTCAGGAGATGGAGACTATCCTGGCTAACACGGTGAAACCCCTTCTCTACTAAAAATACAAAAAACTAGCCTAGCATGGTGGCGGGCGCCTGTAGTCCCGGCTACTGGGGAGGCCAAGGCAGGAGAATGGCGTGAACCTGGGAGGCGGAGCTTGCAGTGAGCCGAGATCGCGTCACTGCACTCTTGCCTGGGAGACAGAGCGGACTCCGTCTTAAGAAACAAACAAACAAACAAACAAAAAATCTCAGCTTTGGTGAGATTAAGCCAGCCTGGATGAATTATACTAACCGTCATGCCAACGACCATGCTAGGCACATAATTTCTACTATCTGCTATAAATCACCTATTTGATTTTAACTCTCAGTTGAATTTCTTGATTCAAAGCCCTCTCCTATGGCCTTGCAGTGAAATAAAAAATAATGATTACTACTTCTATTCTTCAGAGGGGTTAATTGGCTTGTAGTTCAGTATAAGCTCTTCACAAAAATGTTGAGGACTCCCAGAAATGAGTAGATGTTAATTTTGATGGTATGGTTCATTATCTAACATATTATTTAAGAGCAAAAACAATATAATAATAAATTTAACATATCACTTACATTTTTATTTATGCCACAGAGTGTTTAAATTAAACAGCTTGATTAATTTTTATCACTTTGGATATAATATGTTTTGTATTTTCTTTATAACCTCATATTTTTATAGTATTTTTGCCAATCTTCTTAAAAATATTTAATTTTGTAGTATTACAACTAATTTCACTTATTTTTACTTTCAATGTGCCTACTAGAAAATTTAAATTACATGTATTTGTAGCTTATATTCATATTGGACAGTGATTGCTTATATGTATATTGCTTGTGTCTTATGTCCAGTCAAAAGGAAGTCAAGAAGGTTGACAATCTGAAATTAAATTGAGTTTTCGAGTTACCAAAATACAGTGGTTAAATTTAACTCTTCTCAAATAACTGTTTCTAAAAGTTATCTAAATAACATTCATAGTTAACTGTTTTCCTTATTTTACTCAGTGTTTACTCAGCATGATAACAGCTCTTGAGCATGAGTCAGTCATTTTTTTTTTCCTGTTGATCTGGCACTTTGTGTCACCAATAGAAATAAAAGCAAAAGTGGGGTTGGCTAGAGAAAGGGGAATTGTTGATCCAGAGCAGCACACCAGGGTTCCCGTATTCAGTTTTACCTAAAGTCATTCTCCAGCTTCTGTGAGACGATTTACTGCTGAAGTCTATTTGTCTTCCTGCTGCTATCTCTGAACAAGCCCAAACCTTCCATGTGGTTAATAAACTTCTTATCTTTTGAATACTGAAAATAAAATAAACTTAATCCTCAGGGTGGTTCAGTCAGCCGACCAGAAGCCTTTGAGATGCTTCTTAGAGATACAGGAAAACTAGGTTTTCTGCCCTGTGTGATTATCAATCTTTCCATTGCATGCATGTATGTGGAAGGGCGTTAAAGGTGCTTCTCAGTGATAAATGTCAGCGAAATCGCAAAGTGAATATTAATTTCAGTATTGTCAAGGTCAGATGTGTACCTGGGTTCATTGTTACTGGAATTTTTATTGTTGCTGCTATTGGGAAAGATATTTTATCTTGGGCTCATTTTTTCAAGTATGGAGAAAGAGTGAGAAAAATTCCTCAATGTACATATACATTGCTCAGAAAAAAAGTACTGTAGCACAGTCTGGTCTGTTAATTAGGGAAATTATTTTGAGTCCCTAAAAAAAGATCAAGGTGTAAGTTTGGAGGAGTTAAGCTAGGTGGGAAACAGAGCAAACAGATGATCACGAGATCTGGAGACTAGCTGGTCTTCCTGAAAAGCAGCTGACTATCAATCAATAGAAAAAGCAGAAAATTGAAGAAGAAATAAAGAAGAAAATAGTTTGTGATGTGCCCATTAATAGAAGTAGGGTGTGAAATTATCTAACTGGGAGCTTATAAATTAAAAGAAGAGAAGATAGGGGAAGATGTTAGGTTATGAGTGTTCATACAGGAATGAATAACCAGCTGGACATCTCTGTATACAGTGAACTGCCTCAAAGCCAGTGTGGTGGCAAACCTGTGAATTCACTCACCCACACGTCTCCACCTACACGCATGCCCAGTTTAGTCTATTCCAGTGTTTCCTTTCTCAGTGAACAACACCAGAATCACCTAGCTATGCAAATCTGTATTGCAGGAGTCATTCCTGATGCTTCCATCAACTTCACTCTCTTACCACCAATCCAAGTCCTGTTGATTTTACCGTCCCTATAGCTCTTAAATCCCTGCCCTTCTTTTCATCTCCATGGCCAGCCATTATTCTAATTCAAGCTGTTTTCCTCTCTCTTCTGGACTATGGAATATTCTACCAATTGATATCTCAACACTCATCTGTGCCCCTTCAATTCACTGTCTGTGTACAGTAGACAAAGTGAAAAATGCTTAAAATGGGAATTTCTTTCTGATTTTTAGAATAAAAGATCCACATCCTCCCAAGGCTTTTAAGGCCTGGCATGGACCTGCCCCCGAGAATTTTTCTCACCTCATTTGGACTCCTCTCCTCCCTGCACCTTAGGGTCCTGCCATATTAGACTGTGAGTTCTATGGAAGTGTTCACTCTTTCCCCTCAAATCCCCGCAGTGCCTGGAACACTGTAAAAATAGTTAACATTCATTGAGCATTTCCTTTTTGCCAGATATAATTCATATATTATTTATTATTAATCTTCACAACAAACTTATCTGGTAAGCACTGCCCATTTTTTTTTAAATAAGGAAATTTAAACACAAAGACATTAAATAGCTTGATCCTAGCCACATAGCTTGAGTGAGTCTTCTGGATTTGAACCCTAAATCTCTGATTCTGGAGGGTATACCCTTTACTGCTGGTCTCTGTTACCCAAGATGTAATAGATGGGATTTGCTGGCATCTTGGGCATCAAAGCATCCCGGAACTCTGACTTCCGTGAAACCTACGTGTTAGGAGAATAGAGTGCTAAATTTCTTCTTTAATTTATATTCCCTCCCAAAAGAGCCAGTTTACTCAAGGCAGTTCCTTATCTTTTAAAGCCTTGAAATAGATAAACAATAAATTGATTCCCCGAAGAGATGGTATCTTTTAAGGTAGGATCTTTTTTTCATTATGTAGAAAAATCTGCTCACTTGACTGTCTGAAAAAAGATTACTTGCTTCCTTTTCCTCTAATAAATGACAGCAGGGCTTTTTTATAAAAGCAATCTATACCTGTCATTTATTGCTCTATTAAAACTACAAACATCAGATATTGATTGTTCCCATATTGACCATAATACAAGCCAATTTTGAGAAAGGTTGCTGGGTTTAGTCACATTATCACCATGGGAAACACTCTGAGTTGTGCATAAGCTGAAGACACCTGCCTCTGGTGCATATCTATTTATAGAGAACTGAGATTTTTGCATGCAGAAATACAATCTTGAGATATATACAGGCTCAAATCAATGTGAAGTAAGCAAGAAGCCAGTGAATGCCCTTTCTGAAGGTTTCTGCTTGGGAGTCTTCTAAAGAATTAAACATCAATTTATGGTTTGTAGAGTATGGAGATATAACAACAAATGAAACTCGATGTGGATTATTTATGAGGAGGTTAAAAGGCTCCATTTATATCGGTGATGTCACATGTCTGGATCATCCTGGCTTTTCTATCAGGGACTCTGTTGGCCAGGTTTGGTGGTGGTGGTTTTTTGTTGTTGTTGTTTTTGTTGTTGTTTGTTTTTTTTTTAGATGGAGTCTTGCTCTGTTGCCCAGGCTGGAGTGTGCAATGGCACAATCTTGGCTCACTGCAACCTTCGCCTCCTGGGCTCAAGCGATTCTCCTGCCTCAGCCTCCCAAGTAGCTGAGATTACAGGCACGTGCCACTGCACCCAGCTAATTTTTGTATTTTTAGTAGAGACAGGGTTTCACCCTGTTGCCCAGGCTGGTCTTGAATTCCTGACCTCAGGTGATCCACTCACCTTGGCCTCCCAAAGTGCTGGGATTACAGGTGTGAGCCACCACGCCCGGCCCAGGTTTGGTTTTTAAGCATAATCTTGGTCAGAACTTGGGCCACATCCTTTTAGGCATCTATGGAATGCTATGTTTTCCATCTACCCTTTGCATACATAATCTCTTCATGTTCTTCTAACAATACTGACAGTTAAGAAGATTAAATACTTCTTCCTCCAATTGTCTAATGAGGTAACCAATATTTGAAAAAGCTTCAGGGTCTTGATTTCAGGTAACAATATTAACTAACATATTATATTGAACACTTGCTTTTTCATATAATCTCATATAATCCTTATGCTAGCTCTGCGATACAGAAATAATGAATACCTGAGAAAATGATGCTCTGAGTATTTAATACTTGGCCCAAGGATACACTAATATCAAGTAGGAGAAGGGGTTTTTTGACTCAGGAATCAAAACTAAGATGTTTCAATCCTACCTGAAATGTTTTTTAAAAAAGCACTAGTTATCTTAGAGATAGTTTCTGACTTTTCTATGTGATTTTGTCAAAAGGCCTTGACAATTCATTTGAAAATTAGAGTTCTGTGAATACTTGTACCTAAACTGAATTTTCTGAGACAAGCATCTTGAGAAAAATGGATGATTTTTTAACTTTCTTTGAGTCTCATGAAAGAGACTACATTTTTCTGAGATTGGCAAAACATTATTTGATTTGTTGATGGTGGTTATTAGGAAAACAACTTAATGGTAATTCCATGCTTTGGGGAAAAATGTGGTTTCCTCAATACGAGATGAAATGTGCGATCATTAATTTAGTTCATCTTGGAATTATTCTCATTGTTTTTACTTGAAAACCTCATATCTGAAGCCTTCCACGAGGTATAGGGTCGTTTTTGTCTCCATTTCCCAACTTGTAAGTTCTGTTCTGGAAAGGCTCATGTCAAGTATGTTACCCATTCAACCCATTCCTCCTGATGTGTCCTGTCTCGTCGGATTCATCCTTCATTCATCCATCTATGCAATTCTTAATTGTTCTTCAAGAAATGTTCTTAACTAAGCCCTCCGTTATCATCCCAGATTCCTATGTATCTCATCAATAGATCTATTTCTGGAATTCCTATATGTTTGGTTGTCCAGATAATTTTTAGCCTTGATTATATATGATATATTGTTCATTTCTAGGTGTTTTCTGTGCATTTTGTCCTTCCTAAGTTCCTTGAAAATTTCTAATAAAAGTTCATAGTTCTAGAGAAAGCACTGTATGCTGAACACATAGAAATTATTATTAGACTTTAAAATCACGTGGTACTTTTATCTAAACATTTCAATCACAATGGGGAGTAATGAGACCCAGGCTACCGTGGAATTATTTTTAAGTCAGTGTGATTAGGTGTATATGACATCAAGCTGTCAGTAATGTGTACATGTAACATTTAATATGTAAACCTAAGCACATTTGGGTGAAACTTTAAGTTTTTATCTTCCGTTTGGTGTGTGTAGGTAGTTTTTGTAGATCACAAAAACAGTTGCATTTGACATTACTTAGAAATCAGCACTTGAAACAATTTGAGACTTCCACCATGCAGTCCAGAATCTTCGTTGTTCACTACAATTTGCATTACTAAGCATTGCTTATGTTTTCCAAAGTAAAATTCAAAAAGCTCTACATTAAAAACATATTCTACATACTTCACAAGGTTATTACTACTTGGTTGTGTTAGTGAAAAATCTGAGCTGTCTTCCTGAAAGACCTTATCTGGAGGTCAATTCTTGTAATCCCTTTATTATCCAACTGTTTCCAGTTCTAGGTTGAATTACAAGAAATCTGCTTTGAAGATTATTTTCTTCACAGGGAGTCACTGAAGTTTTTTTCTATTAAGCTGTCAAAAATATTCATTAATATCTAAGCATATACATATGTGTGTACAAAGGTAATATATAGATTACATCCATCATCTATATCACACATTATATATGTGTGTGTTTATCCATATCTGCATCCGTTCTATATATATTTATACACACATACGTAATGGCGCAGTTTAGAATATTGTGTGTTAGCAGATAGAAAATATTAAAACTAAAGGTAAAATGAGCAGGTAATAACTGCTTCCTCCAACCAAATGTTGCCAGACTCCTGTGGTTTTGTAATAGAAATCTACCCTATAGTTTGTGCTTCTTCCTAGCCAAATTACTGTCTTATCTCCTAACTATGTACAGTTCAGTCAAGGAGAGGTTTCATTATGTTAATAATTACATTGCCTGCAGGCTTTTTGATGTTGCATTCCCCATACAGAATAGAAACAGATTTCATAGAAATATCATTAAAGCTGTTAACTACAGGAGAAAAAAAATCAAAGAGGCAATCAAAGCATATACTTTATTATCAATAAATGTAAGTAGTTTCAGAAATGGCTTGCATTTGAAACACGTTCACTAAGCAGATCATCAGCAATGGAAGCTGCTGCTTAAAGGGAGAGAGCTTTGTGGTCTAAATCCATTTGGATCACTACAGATGATTACTTAGGTCCTTTGCTATTCATTTTTAAATATAGGCTCAAGAATCATTTTTAAATTAGCAAACTAATAAAGGGATAGAATCAGCCACAGAATTCTGACCTGAATTCAGGCTATGTGAATTATATATAGGTCATTACTGCAATGACAACACGTGACAGTTTTTCTTCAAATCCACTTTTATTTTAGTTTTTTTTTTTTTTTTTTTTTAACAGTGGCTGTTAAATTGATGATTTTGGAACAGTAGAACTCATTGTACTACACAGTCATTTAAAAAAGACTTTAAATATTCAAATGTTCAACTACATATTCCCTGACACTAACATTTATCTTCATTTTGGACTTCCAGCTGAGAAACATCAGTATAATGGCTCGGAGACATCAGCCTCGTTCAGTATTAGGAAGATAGTGGCATGCCTTGATCCTTCTAAAGCTTTTTCTTTGAAAACCTCATATTCAGATTCTTTTTTGAAAAGGATTAATTAAGTTCCCAAGATTTTTAAAGAAACATATATGAAAAATCATAATTTAGGTTTTGTTCTGATTATTGCAAATATCAAATTTCTTACAGTAAAGGGAAGACAGGAAGGCAGATGTTTAGATAGTTGAATGAAAACAGAGTAAGAGAAAGAAAAGATAAAAAGTGTATTAATTCATATATGCTATGTGACTTCTTGATTATCAGGAGCCCCAACATCCTATAAAACCTAAAATATTTGGTGAATTAAAGCAGATGAATTCAAATGTCTTTGAAATACCGATGATTTGGAAAATAAAATAGAAGTCTATTTCACAAACACATTTTAGCTTTGAAACAGTAGCATTTGATTAAAAGTTGAAGATAGCTCTTTAAAGTGAAATTATGTTTTCCTGTTATAAAGTAATTAACAATCACTATGAATGATTTGATGATAAAGAATCACTGATTTTCACAACCAAAAGAAACCAGAGATAGCTAATCCATTGGCAGCTAAAATTTGGGGGATAGAAATGGTAGAAGCTCAGATACAATGATAGAAGCTAAGAACCCTACTCCTCAAAAAATATACATATTACAACTTTTAATGTGCAGATAATTTCAGGGGCTTGTTCATGGAATCTTTGATGCTAATGACAGGTTTCTATCATAGGTAGAGTAGGGATAAAAAACCACACATCCTGTCATCTATAATTAATCAATTATAAATCATTAAACTGAGCAGCTCTCTCTCTCTCTCTCTCTCTCACACACACACACATACAGACACACACATGCACACCCTGTCTTCAATATGATTATATGTAATCAATCATGCTTTGTTAAAGATTCGGCTAACTTTTATATGCCGTTTATTGGGTTTAATATCCAATAAGATCTCATTATAAAGTGCTCTGTTATACTATAAATTTTTATATATAGTCAGAAATTACTGTTCCCAGTGCAAATAGTGACATGTAATACATCTCATTTACTCCAACATAAGTACTTAATTTGTTCTGAGATACAGGTGTTATAATGAATTTCCACTGTAATGAAATATTGAAATTTAAAAAAGGTAGTTGGATAGGCTGACATTGATTGATGAGTTACTTGCATAGATTATGCATCTATTCTGAAATCTTTCCATTCTTTGAAGAAATAGGTAACTTGAATGGAGATGGGGAGAAATTAGAAGCAGTTTGCCACAAAATTATTGTCCAACTGAGGGGATCAGTGAGGAATATTAAAGACATCTTCGAAATGATGAGCAGTTAAGCCCATTAAGTTCCTTGACTGACATACTAAAATGTAATGAAATGGAAGGCTGAAGCTGTTAACGGTATTGATTTCACATCTAATTCCCATTGTTAAAAATTTTTTTTCTTTTTCTTTTTTTTTTTTTTGAGATGGAGTCTAGCTTTGTCACCCAGGCTGGAGTGCAGCGGCACAATCTTGCCTCAATATAACCTCTGCCTCTGGGGTTCAAGGGATCAGGGATCAAGGGATTATCCTGCCTTTGCCTCCTGAGTAGCTGGGATTACAGGTGCCCACCACCACGCCTGGCTAATTTTTGTATTCTTAGTAGAGATGGAGTATCATCTTGTTGGCCAGGCTGGTCTTGAACTCCTGGCCTCAAATGATCCTCCCACCTCGGCCTCCCAAAGTGCTGGGATTACAGGCATAAGCCACTGCATCCAGCCTCATTGTTGAACATTTTTGAGTCTCCCTTTATTTCATTTTCTCTTGCAGCTCATGTGCATGTAATGTATCACATATGTAAAAGTATGTAAATTATACTAAAATATACTTTATGGATATGGAGCTGAATAAATGTATAAGTATATATATGTACATGCATACCTATACATATCTTCATAATTAATGTAAATAATATATTCTTCATATATATGTAAGAACATATATATATATATATGACCTATAAATCAAAGGGAAAATATTAGGGAAATAATGAATTTGAATTTCTGGCATTTTTGTGAAGATGAGTAAGCATTTAATAGCTCAAGTGAAACACAGAGCCTCGACACTAGCCAGGAATGCAGTAAACACATATCTAACAAGCAAGCACTATTTTGGTCTATTTCAGAGCACTGATATTTTATATATGAAATATATGTATATTTTGATATTCATATTTATTCAAATCATACAATTATGAAATTTTTATTTTAACATATGAGAATAATTTGAAAATCAGATCATAAAATAAATTTTACAACGAAAGAGTTGAAGTAGAAAACAATTTAGTACCAAAGGGCAGTCATTTCTCAGGAAACAAAAAGGCAGTTGGAAACTTTACACCAACAAATCGAATGTTCTCATTTGGCTGGCAATTGATAAAAACGCATCCTGTTGTTGTGAATACTTAAAGTAAATGATCCAGAAGAGTGCAGTTGATGCCCAGGGTATTGGGATTGGCAGTACCAGTGTAAACTGAGTGCAAATTATGGTACTTACTGCCTGATATTTCCCCGCCAATAGTAATTAAGCTACGTAGATATAAAGAAATTATCAGATGGGGAAAAGTGCCCACAGGCTCACATGCACACCAAACACATAGACACATGTACCGATTTTAGTTCATACCAGATGTGTGAAGAAAACACTCTTTTCTGATCCCTTTTAGTAACAATGATGAATCAACAAAATCAAATGGGTTAGACTACATAAAGTGCCTTAGGCCTGTGATTTATGGTAACATTTGTAACTGTATATAAAATCACTCATTTGGCTGACATTTAATGAGTCCCTTCTATGTAGCAACATTGTGCATATCCTTGTGGAAAAGACAGTTGCTGCAATTACTTGCACAACTCAATGGAGTGTGTACTGGCCGTTCTCCTGGGACAAAGAACCAGGACACTGAGCAGCCCTGGCTAGGCTTAGCAGGAGAGGAGTGTGGCCTCATGTTTGTTCTTATGGGGATACTGCTTTGAGCTGCAGATATTCCTATAGTCTATTTTCCCCCATGATGCCTGACGGAAGTGTGTGTGTGGTTGTCATATCTGTTTCCCAGAAGTTTCCAAGCCTCAATGATTCTCAGAGTCATGGTCAGGTAAGGCTGTGCATGACCTCCCGCTCCAGACCATACACAGCCCCTACATTGCTAAGTAGCTCTCTCAGATTGCTCTTCCATATTCTCATAGGTTTCACTCTGGATGAACAGTTCATTTGCAGCTTCTCTTCCGTGCCACACTTGGAACCTCAGAAAACTCTGAGTGATATGGGCACACCTCACACTCCTTCCTTCTCAGCAAATTTGCCACCTACTATGCATGTGGTGGATCAGATAAGGTGCATTTTCTTCTCCTTTGCCCCTTGAAACTTGGAGTCCATTTGAATTGTGTCACATCACCCCATTGTGCTCTAGTGGGAGAGATGAGCAGAAACTTCCCACACACTGCCTCCCTTTCCCTTCCCCCAGATACCCACTCATCTCCCAGTCCTCCTGGAGTGGTTCTGTTTGGGAAACTAGGGCTCAGCTCTCACCTGCTTTGAATGTGTTACAAGTCACAGGAGGAGTGATGCCCTTGGAGTTGGGTCATTTTAAAATCCAAATCTCTGCTCCCAGATTGAGCCATGTTCACAACAAAGAACACCCTTTCCATGTGGCCACAAGAGAGCAAGAAGGAACACATTCAATGAGTACTTTACTTATCAACTGGGCCACATGTTTATGCACTGTCTGCACCATATCACAATTCTGGATCCCTCACATACGGCATATATCTTAACAGGTCATTCAGTCTCAATGTTCTCGTTCCTTTCTCTGCCTTCTGTAGAGGAATAATAGGTTCAGAATCAGAAATGTCCCCTCTTGAAATATGTGCGTTGTCTTTGTGAATATATCAATAATAGTATAAGCATACAAATTATTTATGTTTTTTTCTTTAAAATACAGTACTGTGACCATCCACTTGAACAATATTAGTGGACACATTTTTGGTTTGCTTTGTTTCATTTTTTTCCCATTAAGGAAATGTCTGCTTTGTTATAACACAATACTAATGCATCACTGTACACTTTAAGACTCCTCGTTGTTCAACTTTTTCTCTTAAAGTCTCCTTTTTGGAACATAGAGCTTTTTCATAGAAAAAGTATTTCTTCCTGGAAGAATATTGAAGTGGAGACACTCATAAAGTGTCTGTGAAAATACAACTCTCTAGGAGTAAGGGTTCTTTCTGTGAAATAACACATCAAAGAGGAATGAGGAGAGCAAGACAAAACCCAGTAGAGATGGATTGGAATGGGATGCATTACTTTGGAGTCATGAAACATATGTACTGTCTGTGTATATGTATATAAACATTTGTGTAAATATATGTGTGTGCGTATGTATGCATGCACACATGTTTCTTAGCTCTGTTCACCAAAAAGACCTAGAAGCAAATGCACTCAAGTAGCAACTTATACACCTAGGATTCAAATATTTGTCTTTATACCATTCCCCACTAAAAGAACCAGAAAACCTTGAAGGAATGTCTTTTTCTAGAGCTGAGGCAAGATCAAGATGAGCCTGGAACATATTATGCCAAAAAGAAAAGAGGTACTCCAATAAACAATGGGGCATGTCACAGGGACAGAGAAAAACGATTAAAAAGAGCTTCCCTAGTTGAATCTGGGTAAATTTGAACACCAGTATAATTAAGGACAATAATGAATTATAGATTATAAAAAGGAATCCATGTGCCCATTGAAATAAAAGATTCACAAAAGAGAAAAATATGGACTTTTGCTTATAGTCAAATGCTAAGTGTCAACAAGTAAATGTAGAGAAAGGAATGCTGGAATAGGAAAAAAAATCATTATTTTGTAACCACCATGCTAGAAATGGACTCCATCAAGAACCATTAGTAGATGCTAAATCTATGGGAAATGTTGATAACAAGCATATTTATATGGTCCTAATGTTATCTCCCCATGGGTTGCTTATTAGTTGTAAGTGGTAGAGTAGAGGGCTGGGAAGGCGTAGGGGACCTTCAAATTCTGCTTGGCCAAGTACTCAGTTCTGGAATCATAAATGAGGCCAGAGAGAGAGCTTGTGCCTCTGGATGTGATGCCCTGAGAACAGATCATTTACATTTCATTTGTCTGAATGCATAACCTAAGTCTAACATGAGACAGAGACACATTCAAAATGATGAACATTTTATTTATAAAAAGGGGCTAGATTCTTTAAAAATATCAGTTGCCTGAAAGTCAATGTATTTAGTACTGTTCCAACTCACAGCAGCCTGGAAAGACATGGCAACAAAACCTGACCCTAAACTGGATCCTAAATTGGTGAGGGGAGTGCTACACAAATGACATTATTGGTCAGTTGCCAAAATGCAGATGAAGATTAGATAAAAGTATTGTGTTAATATTAAATTCACTGAAGTTGAGAACTATACTATTCATATACACATTTATTTTTAAGAAATATGTACCAAAGTATTTAGGATTAAGGAGAAATGATTTGGGTAGCTTATTCTGATGATATATAGATTCTCTTGTGTGTGTGTGTGTGTGTGTGTGTGTGTGTGTGCGTGTGTGTGTGTATGTAATTATACAGAAAGGAATATTTTGGTATATATATTTCAAAGTGTTGACAATAGGTAAGTCTGGATAAAGGAAACATGGCTGTTCTATGCACTATCCTCATTCTTAAAATTTCCTTTGGTTTTAAATTATTTAATACCTTTTTAATGGCAAGAAGGAAAAAAAACACAGTAATTTGTAAAGATAAAAAAATACAGTGTTAAGAACAAGGAATCTCAAGGTTCCAGGACTGATGGGAAATATGTGAAGGTGACATTAATACATGTTCTGCCATGAATAGAAATATTTTTCCAAATGAATGTATGAGCAGTGATACCATAAGGGGCCTGGGTTCCATGGAATAAATCTTGAAAAATGATGCAGAGTTACGCTGTTAGGTTCCACGCTGATCTAAGAAGTGTATCAACAGATTCATGCCAGTCAGTTTTTCCTATGCCATTTTTGCTATGGAAGTTCAAACTCTCAGAACTGTATTACAGGCCTACAATGTATATCTGTCCAAAGCTAGGTGTTATCCAAGCCTGGGGAAAATACACAGACAACATTATTAAGTAAGGCTGTAGTTAAACCTGGAATGGTGGTATCATTTGTTGATTTTAGGTAACCATAGTGTGGCCATTGCATTTACCATTTACAAGCTATATACAGGTCCATATGCAGGAATACAAAATTATGAAAAAATACAAAATTTGCAGAGAATCAAAATGGAAGCTTTTTCTTAACACATTCTGTATCTGAACCTGACCTGACCTCATGCTAGGCTATTCATAGTCTCTAATGAGCCCATTTGGCATGAATATCATATGCTTTACTGCAAATATATAGTTACATTTGATTAACAATGTAAACAATTTGATATGAGTATCATATGCTTTACTGCAAATATATAGTTACATTTGATTAACAGGGTGCTACTACAGACCCCATTAGGGAAAAAAGAAAAAAAAACCCTGCACAGATACTATGTTACTTTTCTAAAATCTGAAAGTTTCAAAATCTTAAGATACCTGGGCTGGGTGTGGTGTCTCACACCTGTAATCCCAGCACTTCGGGATGCCAAGGCAGGAGGATCGCTTGCCAGGAGTTCAAGACTGTCCTGGGCAACAACATAGTGAGACCCAGTATCTACAAAAAATAAAAATAAAAAAATAACTGGTCATGATGGTGCATGCTTGTAGTCCTACCTATTCAGGAAGCTGAGACAGGAGGATTGCTTGACCCCAGGAGTTCAAGGTTGCAGTGAGATGTGATCATGCCACTGCACTCCAGCCTGAGAAACAGAGCAAGACTCTGTTTCTGGAAAAAAAAAAAAAAAGTGTTTTAGGTAAACGATTGTGGATCTGTGCTGTCTAATTTCATTAGCAGACAAGTTATTTATCCTTCTTAAGTAACAATAATAAGAGAAAATGTAATACTAAAAAGTGGAATTGAAAATGGAACACTAAAATTCATTTAATGAACCCAGAATCAGGCAAGATTTTAAAACTCTGACTTAAAGAAAGACAATGTGGTAAATTATCCATAGCTGTGCGACCTATTTTAATTATAAGTAGAACCATAATATACAAGTACTCCAAATGTACTTTCTCTTTTCCTTCTGCAGTTATTAGCCATGTGCAGGCAAAGACATAGTGGCATAGTGGCAAATTTTTCAGACTAAGAATTTAGATTCACAATCCCACTCTTTGCTGCCATTATCTTAGTCACTTGTACTCCTTTACCAGTTTCTCTAAATGTAAAATAAAATAGGCAATTTTGGTTAATGTAAGCTTTCTTATGAATTTTAAAATGAAGCGATTCTAAAGCTTCCAGAGTTTATATTTTTATATTCTTATTCCATATTATTCTAAAATACATACTCCTAGAATTTTATTGAACTGTAAAAATGTAATTTTGTTTGTTTTGAGAACAAAAACCCACTTATCCTAATCACTTTTCTTTCTTTCTTTATTATTTTTTTATACAGTGCAAGTTCCAGGGCCAGTAGAAAACCTGCAAGCTGTATCTACCTCACCTACCTCAATTCTTATTACCTGGGAACCCCCTGCCTATGCAAACGGTCCAGTCCAAGGTTACAGATTGTTCTGCACTGAGGTGTCCACAGGAAAAGAACAGGTAGGTGAAGGAATGGACCACACTGCTTCCATCTGTTGGATGTTTCCATCCATTGGATAGCTCTAGGGCTGGAGAAATAGGAAAAGACTCGCAAACTCTTGAAACAGCCCAGTGTTAACACATTCATTGAAAAGCTGATTAGTTTTAAAGCACTTGTTATTGGAAACTTTACACAATTTAATTAAATTCTGGTGGTAAGAGGTAAATGGGCAATAAAGTGAAGTCAATAGAAAGGATACCAATTTTTTGGTTGAGTCTGCAGTGGCCTGGCGTGTGTGGGCAACCAGATTTGTATTAACTCACCTGGTCGTGGAAGGCATTTGCAGTTTTATTCCTTAGACTAAGGGGTGATTGCCCTCCTAGTCAATGGCGTTTGCCAAACTGCTTTTTTCATTCTAAGACATTTATATCTAACTCCCTTCCATCATCAGGATGTGTCCTACCATTTTTTAATGTTTTCAGAAGAACTTACTCTGAGAAGCCTAGTCTCCTTCTCCTTACATTTTGCTCCTACCCAATGGTTAGCATAGACACCTGAAAAGAAGCAAATTAACTGTTCAGGTAAACTAAAAGTAAAAAGGTCTTTAGGGAGACACATGAAACTGAAAAATTCTATTTGGTGATACATGCACACACATATGTTAAAAATAGAAATTGAGTTTCATATATATGTGTATATATAATATGTATACCTATATAATACATATATATTACATATATACGTATATGTATTATACATGTATAATACATATATAAGCATAATACATATACATATATTATATATTATATAATACATATATACATATACATATATAATACATATACGTATACATATATAATACATATACATGTGTATATATACATATATGTGTTATACATAATACATATATACCACATATATGTATTATAACACATATATACCACATATATGTATTGTAACACATATATACATATATGTATTGTAACACATATATGTATATATGTATATATACATATATGTATTGTAACACATATATGTATATATGTATATATACATATATGTATTGTAACACATATATGTATATATGTATATATACATATATGTGTATATGTATGTGTTATATATAGTATATATAATATATAATGTATATGTATTACATATCTATGTATATACATGTATTATATATAATACATATCTATGTATATATACATGTATGTATTATATAATACATATCTATACATCTATATGTATATAATACATATCTATGTATAATATATAATACATATATGTATACATATATATAATATATGTATACATATTTATAATGCATATATATATGTATGACTGTTGAGGTATTTACTTCCAGATTCTCAACTTCATGTAGGAAAATATATACAGACATGTATATATTCAATAGTTAAATCAAAAATTGGCCCCAGGATATGGGAGTTCTTATTATTTGTTGTGAAGCTTGTCAAGCATAGAAAGGCCTTCCTGCTTTCACATAAACTGCATGATCAGAATTTTTACTTAAAAATAAGAAATATTTTATATTCAAAAATAGCTCAAGCCCAGTCCCAAATTATATTATAAGATAAGCATTACAAGAGCTCCTCCTATGTAATCATGGGTTGTATTTTTTTCTTGCTATCTTCAAGCTATTTTTTGCTCTTGTTTTTTCAACTTTCTGTTTTATCTGCCTTTCTATATATTTTAGCTCTTCAACGCATTTTGCCAACCAATTTAAATAAATTCAAAACCATCATCATCCAAGATAGATGTGAGTGTGAAGATCTGATTCCTCAGTAACCTTCACCTCCAGTATCTCATTTACTGCAGCCATGAGAGGCTCAAATAATTTCAACCAATCTAACAGCATTTTGGGAGATAAAAATTGTGGCAAAGTGTCTGACAGTTTCAAGAGCTGTGGGTATATTTCAGCAAGAGAAGCACAAAATCTATTATTTCTTGGTGAATTATTCCATTTTGGGTACAGGAGAAAATCTCTGTTCCCATGGCGTTATAAGCTGCCTTCTGCCTGTGAGGGTTTAGGTGTGGGTAGAATAACCCAAACCATTCAGTACATTGAGTAGTGTTAAACAAATTGGAACTTAATGACTGTAAAAATAGCATGTGCTGTTTTAACAAGGAGTCTACAGATTAGTTGGTTTTTAGTGGGGGAGTCTGTGTCACAAGGTAGGTTTTATAGCTCATTAGAAGGCTGGAGTGTAGTTTGTAAGAGTCTAATGTCCAATTCACTGATTGCACAGAATGAGTGCCATTTCTACTTTAATGTGCTTCCTTGATAACAGTTTTGGTGTTTTATGTCTCCAGAATATAGAGGTTGATGGACTATCTTATAAACTGGAAGGCCTGAAAAAATTCACCGAATATAGTCTTCGATTCTTAGCTTATAATCGCTATGGTCCGGGCGTCTCTACTGATGATATAACAGTGGTTACACTTTCTGACGGTAAGTTAAAAACAGTGAAACTCCTTTTACATATTTGACATAATATTGACAATAATGACATGATATTGCACATATATCATATATTCCATTTTCAAGGCTTCCTGACTAAAATTTTATGGACTATTACAGTTAAATGTAAACTTTCTATCAAGATACATACTCCCAGCTGGATGTGGTAGTTCACACAGGTAATCCTAGCACTTTAAGAGACTGAGGCAGGAGGATGAGTTAAGCCTAGGAGTTCAAGACCCACCTGAACAACATAGTGAGACCCTATCTCTGTAAATGTTTTTTTTTTTTTTTTTTAATTAACTGGATATGGTGGCATGCACCTGCGATCCCAGCTACTTGGGAGGCTCATTCTGGAGGATCACTTGAGCCTGGGAGTTCAAGACTGCAGTAAGCTGTGATCGTTCTACTGCACTCCAGCCTGGGCAACAGAGTAAGACCCTTTCTCCAAATTAAATAAATATATATGTATATATGTATATACATATGTATATACTCTTGAGTCAGTATATACTAATAGGTAATCCTCAAAATGTGACTATTGACTAAGAGCTAAAACTTTGTGTATTTTTTATTTCTTTACATTTTCTAATACACATTTGTGCATGTGTGGATTAATTTTGATTGGCATGTTTTATTCCCCCATCTAAAAGTGTGCAGATGATTAAAGGTGTAAATGATAGACAATCCCCCTATATTTACCTCTTAATTAGAAAATATATCAAAAGGAATTAGGCCAAATAAGCTGATATTAAAATTTAAAGTATTAAAATTGAGCATGAAAAATGTGTATGTTGCCTACTAAATGGAAGAATAGACACAAACACACACATTTGAGACAAGAAGTGCAGTGACTCAATTGTGCTTCACTACACCCTTTATTCCTGGGCTCAAGGGCTTTTCTTTTCTTTTCCTTTTTTGGAAACGGAGTCTCGCTCTGTCACCCAGGTTGGCATGCAGTGGTGCAGTCTCAGCTCACTGCAACCTCCACCTCTCGGGTTTAAGTGATTCTCCTGCCCCCAGCCTCCTGAGTACCTGGGATTACAGGTGCATGCCACCACCCCTGGCTAGTTTTTGTATTTTTAGTAGAGACAGAGTTTCACCATGCTGAGCAGGCTGGTCTGGAACTCCTGACCTCAAGTGATCCACCCGCCTTGGCCTCACATAGTGCTGGGATTACAAGCGTGAGCCACTGCACCCAGCCTCAAGGGATTTTCCTGCCGAAGCCTCCCGAGTAGCTGGAACTACAGGCATAGGCCACAGCACCCAGCTAATATTTTTATTTTTTGCAGAGGCAGGGTCTCACTTTGTTGCCCAGGCTAGACCTGTTTTTGAATGCCATAAAAGAGAGGAACAAATCTTAATAAAGAGAATAAATTTGACAAAATAATGGCCAGGGGAAACTAGAAACCTAACTGCTAGATGATCATGAAAGGTTGGGAAATTTTATAAAAAGTGAAAATAAAATACATCAAAGTATATGATGTGGGGCCAACGAAAACTCAGGCAGGTGCAGAAATGTAGCGATAGGCCCTTGTGAATATTAAAAAAGGCCACAAGCTAGCTCTTTTCAGCAACAATTTCCATTTGGTGTGTTTAATTCTATAAATTATTTATCTTTTTAATTAAAAAATGACTTTAGCTTGTGATTTCTTGACAGATCTATCATTGTTTATTCTGGGAAAGTACCTGGGTGTACATTTCACACAATATCAGTGAAATGAGGAAGGGCATGCATATTATTAAGGACAGTACAAAGAGAACACAGGAATAATGCTCATTTGCAAATTCAACTTTAAAATGTATTTTATACGTAATACCACTTTGGTATCATTTTTAATGTAATTCTTAGGCCCATCCATCCAATTCTGTTATTGAAGACAGAACAGAATATTTATTGGTAGAATAAATTACTTCACAACTTATAATTATAAAAATAAAAGAAAAACAAATGAAAGTGAATGTTTTACATAATTTATGTAGATTTCATTCACTCTGAACTGTAATACTGTGGCCTGATTCTCCACTTTGGTTTTAAATGTCATAAGTGAGAAAGATAGATTATTATTCATTAGTCCAAGAATTATCTTCTGGAAATGTTACAATGTTTAGGACTTAGACAGTGTCTGTCAGTATAAAAAAAGTATTTCGTGACCCTAACCCCAATAAACATCACTGTGCAAAGGACACCAAATTCTCTCTCTCAAATGCACTGAAAGGAGATAGCAAGGACTTTATAAGCTTCTTAGAGTGGACACCGTGACCTCGTTTGCATTCATTTTTACAATCAACCCATCTCTTTTAATGTCCAACACAAATGTGTGGCTCTTGGCTTTCATTTCCTTATTATCCAGTTCCTTTCTGTCTACTTCAATCTCATGTCTCCTCCTCTGTCCTGAAGCTGTTCATGCTGAGGTCATATATCACATTGAGTTGTATTTAATCACATTTAATAGTCACCTGCTTCCCAGTCTTCAGTCATGGAGCACTCTTCTTCGTTAACTTTATGTATGTTGTAACAGGTGGATGTTGTGAAAATTAAATGGGCTGATCTGTGTAAACATCTAACAAAGTGTATGACATTTAAGTGTTTAATAAACATTATCTCTACCAAAGTGCACTTCACTTTTTCTCATTATATTAATATTAAATACCCCTAAATATGAAGGATGCTGTTATATTCACCTCTGTTTTCTTCCTGAGTAAATATTTATCGAATTAATTAGACAGCTCAGTCAAAACTGTGCAAATTTCTGTATGCAAAGGCTTATCTTTAGGATTTCCCATTTGTGGAACTAATTTGATATATTAATTTAATATATGACTGTGTCTAAATGCATCTGTATTATAGTGAACATAATAATTCTTTTCATATCAGGAGTCTTACCATAAAAAATATATTGAGACATAGAAAAATTTTTAAAAAAGCAAAAGTTAAGTGTAAATACATTTCTTCCAATTTCATTACTTTATGTTTTTTTTTCCCTGTTCTACTGGGATGCTTGTAAAGATCTTTGTCCAGATGAGCTGTCATCTCTAATTTAGCTCGGCTTTATTTTCTGAGTAGAAACCTTATTTTTTATTCAAATTCCTCCACCTAGAAAACCACTGGTTTACAATGAGCCATTTTTTTTTCACACCACTGAGATTATACAGCATATGATCATCTAAATAATTTTGCCAATTTGTTCCAAAATACTGTCTCTTGCACTAGTTGGTAAGTCACTAAGAGCTTTTATGAACGAATGAACCATTGAAAGTTTCCATGCCAGCTTGTCCTGTGTCCAAATGCAGAAGGACCTGATTTCATAGGCAACATAAGAATGTGCTTATTATTTTTATGAATGTTATTAATATTTCTTGAATACTTACTAATGGAAGGCCCTGATCCAAGTACTTTGCCTTTACCTTTCATCCTCACGATACTACTAAAATTTTCCCTACTTTACAGATGACAAAACTAAGTCAGAAAGAGTTCACAACAGGTAGTAAGCAGCAGAGCCAGACCACATAAGCTAGTAAATTCAGAGGCAAGATTCATTGTGGAAACATGTTTCTTTTATTCTATGATAAGTGCCTTTAAAGGAAAATGCTTATAATTAAATATGAATTACTGGCCAGGCATGGTGGCTCACTCTTGTAATCCCAGCACTGTGGGAGGCCCAGGCGGGCAGATCACAAGGTCAGGAGATCTAAAGCATCCTGGCTAACATGGTGAAACCCACTCTCTACTAAAAATACCAAAGAATTAGCTGGGCGTGGTGGCGGGCGCCTGTAGTCCCAGCTACTCGGGAGGCTGAGGCAGGAGAATGGCGTGAACCCAGGAGGTGGAGCTTGCAGTGAGCCGAGATCGTGCCTCTGCACTGCAGCCTGGGTGACAGAGCGAGACTCTGTCTCAAAAATAAAATAAAATAAAATAAATATAAAATAAATATGAATTACTGCTGGGCAGTAATTACACTTGTAATCCCAGAACTTTGGGAAGCTGAGGTGGGTAGATCACTTGAGGCCAGAAGTTCGAGAACAGTCTGGCCAACATAGTGAAATTCTGTCTCCAATAAAAATTTAAAAGTTAGCCAGGTATGGTGGTGCACACCTGTTACCCCAGCTACTCGGAAGGCTGAGGCAGGAGAATCACTTGTACCTGGGAGGCGGAGGTTGCAGTGAGCCTAGATCACACCACTGCATTCCAGCCTGGGCAACAGAGAGAAATTCTGTCTCAAAATAAATTAGAATTATTTTGGTCTATAAATTCTGTGTACATGGCAGCATACATTTGCTGAGGGGAGGAATTCAAGTGCCTGTGCCTTGGGAGACTCATTTACAATTATGGGGACTTGATCTGTCCTACAAAATACCTCATCTCCATGAGTTTCAAGCCAACATCCTTCTCCATATTGAGGGAAGTTTCCAGCCCCACCTCTCATTGGCTTGAATGGACCTATTTATTATAAATAATAAATTATTTGACATTTTGAAGAGAAAAGTGTTCTTTCACTTCTGCCTCATGAAACAAGAAGCGTCTTGGGAAGACAAATATAGAAAAGAACAATCGATATGGATTCTCTTCACTTTCACCTAGCCCTAGCATCTATTGTATCTATCTATCTCCAAATAATATGGAAATTGATAGTGAGAAGGAGGGAGTAGGAACTGATCACTAAAAATACTGTAGAAAAAATTCTCTACTCTCCTCCCTGACATGACAACAATAGCCAGTGTGCTATCAGTGGAAAGTTAGAGAAGAAATGTGCACTGTAAAAAAATACAGAAAAACTACTTCAATACCATTACAAAAGGACTTTTAGCAGAATTGTATTTTATTGCCTTTCAATTCTTGTTTTTTTTTTTTCTTTTTTTTTGAGACAGAGTCTCACTGTCTTGCCCAGGGTGGAGTGCAGTGGCACAATCTCAGCTCACTGCAGCCTCCACCTCCCAGGTTCAAGTGATTCTCCTGCCTCAACCTCTGGAGTAGCTGGGACTACATGAGTGTACCCACACGCCAGGCTAATTTTTTGTATTTTTAATAGAGATAGATTTTCACCTTATTTGCCAAGCTGGTCTCGAACTCCTGACCTCAAGTGAGCCACCTCCCTCGGGCTCCCAAAGTGCTGGGATTACAGGTGTGAGCCACCATGCCCAGCCTGCCTTTCAATTCTTAATACAGAAAACAGCCCTGATGCTTATAAAATTGTGGTAGCTACAGAAAAAAGAACACATATATATCTATCCTCTTAAAGTTTTCTTGGCTTTCTAGAAATAAGGAGTTAAATGCCACTTGTAAACTCAAATGAAAGTGACATTTAAGGGTTGCATATCAGCTAGAACAGTACCTACAACAAAACACATGATAAATGTTACCTTCTCTTTCTTCCAAAATTCAATTATCTATCAAAAATTCAGTTAGTAATTGATATTATGTTTGGATACTAATTGATCAAAAAGTTAGTGTAATATTATTAGAAACATATAGCATGACATGTCAGTATTACAACATTAAATATAAACTAGAAATATTCTTTCATGTTTAAGAAGTGACTCGGCCGGGCGTAGTGGCTCACTCCTGTAATCCCAGCACTTTGGGAGGCCGAGGCGGGTGGATCACGAGGTCAGGAGTTTGAGACCAGCCTGACCAACATGGTGAAACCCCGTCTCTACTAAAAGTGCAAAAGTTAACTGGGCGTGGTGGTGGGCACCTGTAGTCCCAGCTACTTGGGAGGCTGAGGCAGGAGAATGGTGTGAACCCGGGAGACGAAGGTTGCAGTGAGCTGAGATCGTGCCACTGCACTCCAGCCTGGGTGACAGAGCGAGACTCCGTCTCAAAAAAAAAAAAAAAAAAAAAAAAAAAGAAGTGACTCAATATCACTTAATATTAAGACATTATTTCCAAACTTTGCTTTTAAAGGATAACATTTTTGGAAGTTTGTGAAATTATATGATATAGAGCATGTTATTTTATTCTACAAATAGTACTTCAATTTAAAAAACTAAATTGTAATTTTTATGTCAATAATTATAACGTTTAGAATAGATTAAATAATAATACAAGTACAATTTATACTTTAACTTAAAAATTTACAAAACAAAACTTGGGACCAAACCCTGAATATGGAACCATTTTTATTATAATTTATAAACTTTTTATTAATATATTTATTCAGCAACTATTTACTGAGTGTACACCATGTGCCTTCAACTCTTCCTGATACTGGTGATACAACATCAAAATGAATAAATATCTTTTTCCTTATTGGGGTTACATTCTGTATTTAATTTTAAAATCAGAATAAGAATCTCAAAAAATTAAATAACATTTTATAAATTGTGGAATATTTTTGAAAGAATACTTGCTGAGTTAATTCATGAAAAACAAGCAGATGAGCATTTTGTCAGAAACTACACTGGCTGCAACCTTCATCAGGCACTAAGATCAGAAGTTCAAAATCAAAATAAAAAAAAAAGATTTCATTTTCTGTTATTCCCAGAAAGGTCTAGAACTATATAAGTAAGTACTCATTTGCTCATTCAATCATTAATTCAGTAAATATTAATTGAATGTCAGTTTGGAAGATAAAAGATTAATCGGTGGCACATCATGTCTTCATGATAATTACTATTTAGAAGATAAATTCAGAGTATGGCATAAATAAATTCATGGTCAGATGTAAGTACTCTATAGAAAAACATAGATTTTTTTCCAAATTCTAGTAAAAGAAGGGGAAAGATGTCAAAAATGGCCCTTAGATTCTTGAAAATGCCTGAGAACTTTTCTATTAAACTCATCTATTTGTGAGGAACAAGGATAGGGACTACTCACTTTATAGATTAATATGTGTTAACAATTTATTGAATGCTACTTCTATTCCTATTATGGGGCAAAAAGCTTTATTTCATTTATTTTTCATCCCAGACATCTAGAGTAGTTCCTGACACATAAAAGCCATTCAATAAGTGGTTGTTTTTAAATTACTCACATGATAGAATATTCACTTTTTTGGTAGAGTAAATATTTATTATAAGTATTAAAAGAGAGCTGTATATGTTCTTCCTTCTATAAAGGAGTAGTTAAATAAAAATGTAGGCAAGAAAAACAAAATACCGTACCTAGAAACTCTACAAAGAAAAATATACTGCTGCTTTGCTAATAGAATTGACTCATCAAGTGCTATTTGCAACCTGCTTGTATTTATCACATAAGGTTTAATTTTACACAGCTAAAAGAACTGAGAAGTATTTCTTCTTTTCACTTTTTAAGAGCTAATAAAGTTTGCATTACAGGGATTAAGAAACCTGGCTGACCATTAGAATGACAAATTTTATCATAAAATTATGCAGATTCTGAAATGCGCAATATCTTAAGCCTTTAAAACTACTGTAAGAAATCTCCTGTGTGTTTTTATTGGTTTCTCTGGGAAAGTTATCACAAGAGGGCTGTAATTAAATGGTGGTGTTTGGTATCACTGCCCGCGTTCTCTTGCGTAACAGTTTTAGGGGCTCCCTACATAGGTAAGTTAACTGGCTAGCGAAATGAGAAAAAAAAAATAGACAAATACAGTTATTTTTCATCTCTCCAAAAATTTTTGAAGTACTACCTGGGTTAACCTACCTAATTATCATTATAAACTATATAAACAAAACCACACTCTCTTTTTACTAGACAGGTGGTATTTTTCTTTCAAGATTTTGGCAGTAACTGTGACAATTTGTTTGATTCCTTTTAGTGCCAAGTGCCCCGCCTCAGAACGTCTCCCTGGAAGTGGTCAATTCAAGAGTAAGTTGGCTAAATGTTCACTACTCCATTACCTATCAAGATTACCTATCATGTATAACCTTCACTCACCCAACTGCTGTCTTGAGTACAGGATAGTGGCTTCCATGTGCAGAAATGTTCTGGAACAACACAGCAAGTGACATTGATCCCACATCCTCTTCCATCAGACTTAAGTAAATTAAATGAAATATTTGTCTACTTCTAAACAAATATTTTGATTTACAAATATTAAACAAACATTGATTTTGTGAATGTTTTAGTGGCCAAAGGCTATTCCATAAGGAAACAAAGACATCTGCTTCGTCTATATTCACCAGTCTATCATATAGCAATGATGATGTGCTAGATGAGGAAATTGAAATAATTAGGAGAAAGAAAGACTGTTTCCTAACACATTACTTAGAATTGAATATTTCGTCATCATCCCCATTCTTCCTTTATAAATGTAGTCATTGAAGGCCATTCTTGAACTTCAATACAGTTATATTTATGTAGCGATGTTACCTAGTTGTTAGAACTTTCCTGGCCTGGAATGTTGCTATGACTTCCAAAGGAGCTCAACTTAGGCTAGTATTGCTGAAGTAGCCTAATGCCAGAGGTCAGTTTTCTAGAAACATGTCATTATTTCAAGTGACTCAGGGTTGGAAATAAGCCAAGGCCACCTAGTAGAGTATAACAAATGAGGATTCACCTGGTTTGACCCTGTCACCACCTGGCCACTATGCTTGGACCTCCAGTTAGGTACTTCTCATGTGAGGAAATTGGCCTAAATGATTTCTAAGCTCTGGGAGACAGCAGAGAAATGATACAGGTCTTAGAAAAAGTCATACTCTGGGTTTTAAATCTAGCTTTCTCTTTTCATAACTATTTGGTCTTAGCAAAGTTTTCAACCTTAGCAAACCTCTTTCTATGTTTAAGTATCCTAAGAATTACTATCTTCCTTATTGACTTATCATGAGAAAGTAATAGTAAAATGTATGCGATGAATCTGACTTGATAGTGATTCCTTCATTCCATGTGCAAATGCCTTGTCATATTTTGTAAAAAATCTATGAGGAAGCCATATCTTGTGATGTTAATTGGATTTGTCTCAGTCAAATGAATTTATCTTTTGAAGCAAGTGAATGCATTATTCTCTTATACTTTTAGGCAATATGTTGGATAAGAACTATTAAAGCAAACATAAAATTAGAAGAAAATAACTAAACTTAGTGGAAAAAATGAGCTAAAGGAAAATAATCAAAAATTAACATAACCCTACAAATGACATTTTTATCTGCAACAACACTGCTTTAGAGATGTGCCACTTAAATTAAGAGATTGCCAAGTCAAAGTCAAGTAGATTTTTACAATTATTGTATGTTGTTAATGAATGAAATTTGGAAAACATATTGTAATGTCTCTTGTTTAACAATTCATCATTGTTAGAATCCTCACTCACTTTATGTTTTTCCTCCAGGACAGAATATAGAAATTGATATACAAGCTATTTTGTGTTTGTGTGTTCATACCCTTTAAGAGTGTACTCCAGGAAAAGATGAATGTTTTCACTTGAAACGTGTATAGGGCATTACTGAATGACCCTGGATGCTAACTGTATTTGAATATGGATGTACTTTACTGAAGACGGAATTCCTGGATTGCAAAATTGACTATATATATTATACACACACACACACACACACACACACACACACACACACATATGTATATACACACACACACACACACACACACAAATATCACAGCTTCTACTCTTCTCTAATTTGCTTGCTTGCAGCAAGCAAATACAAACACTTCTACTTCTATCCTCTTGTAGTTGATATCTGGAACATTGCACTGCTAGAAAGTTTAAATTGTTCATTCGCTTTTCAGAATGAAAATACTATGCCCAGGCACTGGAAAGTCACACTCCCTCTCTCCTTTTTCTCTCTCTGATCTTATTTCATAGCTTCTAAGAAATTATGAATTATAAATTTTTATATCAGACTGTTTTCAAGAGAAAAGAAACTGGATGATCAAAACACCACTTTTTGCATTCTCAGTGTATTGATTCAGACAAAGGCAAATGTAATATTCTATTTTGATATTTGTGTTTTATTTGAAATAGATGAAAAGTTTTAAAATATATTAATATTTACCCCTGACTGTGACCATTTCAAGGGGCAAACTGTATTTAAAAAGAAACATTATAGTTGAATAAATAATGTGTTCTTTTTTAATACTAACAGAATTCCAGGGTGTTTTTATTTTTTTTATTCTTTAGAGACAAGGTCTTTCTTTGTTGCCCAGGTTGGAGTGCAGTGACACAACCATGACTTACTGCAATCTTGGACTCTTAGGCTCAAGTGATCCTCTTGACTCAGACTCTAGCATAGCTGGTACTACAGGCATGCAACCACCATGACTGACTAATTTATTTTTGTGTTTTTTGAAAGACAGGGTCTCATTATGTTCCCTAGGCTGGTATCAAAGTCCTGACCTCAAGCTATCCTCCCACCTTGGTCTCACAAAGTGCTGAGATTACAGGCATGAGTGACCATGCTCAATTCATGAATTTTTTACGTAATTTATTTTACTTGGGATTTTAAGATGGAAGAGAACACACTTTGAAAACGTATTCTATATCATATTTGTAAATATAGAGCACAATTGATTTTTTTATTGATAGTAAATGAAATAACTTGGTGCAACTAACATTTTTGCAGAAAGATTATTAGGATCTCTGTACATAAAACTGAGGGGTTGTTATAAGACATATGATCACAATCTAGGTACTCGTTAAGGTTTTGGTCACCCGTAAGCCAGTTGGACCCAGAAATCATGTTCCATAATAATTAAGCAGAGAAGTCTTTACACATCTAGATAATGAAACTAAGAACAAAATTCTCTTACTGTATCATTCTTGAAAACCCAGTATGGTAGAATATTTTTACAAAGCTGTAATAGCAGAACAGATTAGATTCCTTTTCTACAAGCTAACTATGAACACAAGTTTTTTGTTGTACTAATGGCTTGACTTACACATGTTACATGTCAGGTGAAACTGGGTCATAGTGAGGTGGTTATTTCTCATACTAAAATTTTGTTACAAGAAATAGTATCTTTTCCAGAAAAAGATAATGGTTTATGAAATGGACTTTAAAATGTTACGTTTTATTAGGAAAACTTTTTATAAGAATAATTTCCTTAAGAATTTAATTTGAAATTCAATTATTATTCAATTATTATTGATTCAGTTATTATATATTTCAAATACATACTACAACTTAATTAGTTGGCTGGAACATAAAGGATACATTTACAGAATGCAGAGAGCTAATGTTGGGGCACAAATATTAATACTTCCCTATGTTTCAATCTAAAAGTTCTGATGAGTAATAATGTTTAGAGGATGATAGAATTCAAGTTGCTTGGGTCCTTTTATTAACTCTTTGAACCTGTGAAAAGTCACGTGTCTCAGTTTTATTTATTCAACACTTACTCTGTACCTGTTTTAATGTCATACATAATAAGGAATGTGATCTAGAATTTGCCTTCATGCAGCTCACAGTTGGGTAGGAAAACGTGAAAGAACATTCACTGTTCCTCTAGCCACTTTAATCTGTTGAACCTTTCAAAGTTGACATTATTTTCTCATTTTAAAATGAGAGAGCTGGATAGAGAATCTCTAAAATCTCCTGTGGCTTCAAACATCTGTGCCTGTGTTTCTAACCATTATACCTTTTCTCAACCATTTTACTGTTAAAGAATTAGCGAAAACACAAATCAATTTCAGTATACCAGTCAACTCACTAGTTCAGATATATATTGACTGAGCACTACAGAGTGATTGCAAGGAATGAAGTATTAACTCCCCTTTCCCCCCAAAACCCCAGTATATTATGAGGCATAGATCATTGTTCAGATTTAAATTTTTAAATGCAAATTGATGGATTCCTCTCATTATATCACCTCACACCTCTCTGCTGTTGAAATCCTTATTCTTGAACACCAGATGCATCTATGTGAATGTCTTTTTGTTGCATTCCTAAAAGCTGGTACTCAGTCACTCACAATCTGATATTGTACATGGTGCCTTCAAAGCAACCGAAGAAAAAGTTTCTAGTGCCTTCCTACGTCTTAAAGTGTCTCACTCTCCCTTGTTTCAGCACAACTTGGCATGCTTAAATAACTCAAGCCTGAGTTCAGCAATCATATGATTTCCTTTATGCAAAAACTATACAGTAGGAGAACAGCAAGTTTCTACTCTGCAAAGCAAACTGATCATTTTTAACAGATATTTTAACATTCTTTGTGTGTGTTTGTGTGTAACAAGACAGAGGAAATCTAAGTGTATTATGGGATAACTGCAGAAGGACATGCTTTTGAGGATGTGGTGCAACTTGTTGGATTTTGATGGAAGTCTCTATACCCTGTCATTGGGCTGGTGTTGCTTCTCTTATTAGCCAAGTCCATAGCCAAGTGGGTGGCTGAGTGAGTCATTTGCATATGACTCCTAGTGGGAAGGGAGGAGATGGGGAAAAGCTGGAGGCAAGGAAAAAATGTGAGTTATGATATTAAATTGCAGATCCTCTGTGTCTGGGGTATGTGTATGTGTGTATTCAGTTTTGTTTTGTTTTTTTCTGAAATTGGGGTTATCTTCTCTTGGTTATTCAGAAGGGGTTTCAGTTCACACACCTCCCTGCTGCGTGACAATCTCTCTGAAAACATACTTTTAGAAAAGGGGTCTGGACCCACTTCTCTGCTTTCACCATTCTTCTAGTCAACGTTCATTTCTCTCCTGTATGTTGTATGGAGTCATAGGCCTCAGGCAGCCCATGGAAAAACATGCTTCTTCATGTCTCCCTAAGTCCTTTATAAAATACACTTTGGCTGCTGAGTTCCTGGACCCAGAGCTCTGAGCCCTCTCCTCACAAATGTAGTAGGTTTAAAAAATGGATTTAGTGAAGAGAAAGAGGATATATATGAGACTGCAGATGATTGTATTTATTTAAAGATAAACTAGAACCAGCATTTGCTTATTAATGAACAATTTAAATACAACAATGTTGACTCTCACAAGCTTAACAATGACACTTGTCCTCAATCATAACACAGAGCATTTCTGCCTGAGCATAGTATTTGCCCTAGTTATCCATCCATTTAATTCAAGTAGGTGTAGATCTCTTATATTTATTTTAGTTATTGATTCCTTCATCTATTCATTACATGGTGATTTTTAAGCATAGATAATGTCCAGGGGCCTATGATTGAAAGTTTTAGGAAGGGTGGGGAGTAGGAGCATAATTGTAAGGAAGGCAATATTTCCTGGGGGCTCTTACAGTCTAGTCTTTCTGTTTGGAATTTGTAGGAAAGACTAGACTGGATATAAATGATTATATTACATAAGAATCAGATAATTTGTAAGAATCTGTGAGACTCCCTTAAGGATAAGATTGTGTTTGGTCTATAATTTGGGTAGAACTCATCTTCAGATCTCTTCCATCCTGTCTTTTTACTTAATAGATCCTTTTTTATTGTGGTGAAACAACTTTATATAAAATTTACCATTTTTTAATTTAATTTAATTTTTTAAATTAAATACAAATTTAAGCATTTGTAAATGTGCAGTTTAAATGTGGTAAGTACATTCACATTGTTGTACATCTATCACCAGCTTCCATCTCTAGAATATTTTCCATCTTCCCAAACTAAAACTTAGTATCTATTCACCAGTAAGTCCCCATTTCCCCACACAGTCATAGATGTTTGAAGCCACGAGATTTTAGACATTCTCTATCCAGCCGTCTCATTTTATCAATGAGAAAATAATGTCAACTTTGAAAGGCTGCAACAGATTAAGTGTGGCTAGATGAAAAGTGAACGTTCTTTCACATGTTTTCTTACCCAACTGTGAGCTCCATGAAGGCAAATTCTGGATCACATTCCTTATGTGGGAATGTGAGAGAAAATGGGGAGTTATTGGTGAATAGATACTAAGTTTTAGTTTGGGAAGATGAGTTCTACCCAATTACAGAATCCCTGGCAACGACTATTTTACTTTTTGTATCCCAACTTACTTTATAAATGAGCAAAGAAACCAATTCATAAAAAAATTAATTTCCCTTTTGCTTCATTTAATTGAGAAATAAAACAGTTTTCCATTTTTAGATCCCCTTTCTTATAGAGAAATGAAAAACTTAATGAATCAGTGGTCAAGAATACAGACAGATGCTTTAATTGGCTAGGAAGAGATGCCTCACTTCCCATTATTGTCAGTGCTTTCAGAATACTTCTGTTCCAAAATTCCACATTTATAAATTGTTTTTAGAAAATCTGCTGAAAAAGCCAACTGTCATATTTAATAAGAGGAAACCAGAAACATAAACATAGGATTGTTCCAAAGAAACTGTAAAAGACATAATTTTGTCTCATATTCCATCAGAATTTAGACCAGAGCTCCTGACCAGTTGCTAAATTGATTCTTAGACTTTTTTTGAAGTTCCAAAAACTCAACAGTTTACGTCTTTTTTCAGTGAAATTACAGTCAATGAATAAAGATCAACCATGAATTAGAGGAATAATAAAATAGTAAATTATTGGATAACTAGTTTTTAAACAACATAAATGCATCATTCCAACTTAACTGCTTTCTGTAATTAAGTTGAATAAAAGAATACTCTGCAAATTTGCAAATTCAAAGCATATCTTTGTATTACACTATCACTCATTTTCTCAGAGCAGCCCTTCCTAAAGTCTATTTGAGAGAATACTTACCTTTTTCTTTTTTCTTTTTCTTTTTTCTTTTTTTTTTTTTTTTTTTGAAATGGAGTCTTGCTCTGTCACCCAGGCTGCAGTGCAGTGGTGTGATCTCAGCTCACTGCAACCTCTGCCTTCTGGGTTCAAGCAATTCTTCTGTCTCAGCCTCCTGAGTAGCTGGGACTACAGGCGTGTGCCACCATGCCTGGCTAATTTTTTACTTTTTTTTAGTAGAGACGGGGTTTCACCATATTGTCCAGGCTGGTCTTGAATTCCTGACCTCGTGATCTGCCCGCCTCGGCCTCCCAAAATGCTAAGATTACAGGCGTGAACCACCACGCCCGGCCTATGGTACTTTCCCAAGAAACAAGGTTGCTATGGCTTAAAAAATTGTGAGAAATATGTGAGGTTTCCTATTGGAGATATTAAAGGCTATGAGAAGTATTTGTTTAACTCAGCTTTTTTACCAATTGTTTTTTCTACAAAAACATTTTAGATGAAATACAGCCTTTAAAACTCTGTCAAAGTTACTTAATGTCATTGTAACATTACAAATGAGAACAATGTACTCCATAAATTGAAGAACCTCATCTTCCTCCAAAAATACCTTCTTATCTCAATTAATTTAAAATAATAATATATATTAAGTGAAAAAATAAATTTATGGAAAGCAGAAGTGAATCAAGGAATAGTTATAAAGGACATTTATGCATAACTAGAATAGGATATTGAGAACCTTCTGTGACATCTGTTAGAAGATTTGAATAAGTTAGAGACATGATTAAATCTCCATGTCAATATGAATTTTTATTAATGTAAATAGGACTTAGGAAAACATTTTCTAGACTTTTCTCATCTTTCATATTTCATATACATAAAATACATCATTTTTCTGTTGTGTTTTGAGAATGTTATATTTTTGTCTTTTCCAATTTATTGCAGTCACTGCCATTGAGTATACTTGCACAAAGGATTTTGACAAAAAGAGATTAAAATATATGATAGAATACCATTCTCTTTTGAGTTCTAGCCTCACTTTAATATTACCTTATAATTTATACTTCATCACACACATTTCTAATGGCTCCATTTCTGCTTGGCTCTGAAGGCAAAGCTCACTTTAGCCTTTCCATGAAGTTTAATGAGATTTCCCTCAAGTCATACATTTTTGAAAAGTGGGAGGTTTAATAATGGGCTTAAATTAAATGAACCTAGGTCTAGTGATAAGGTCTCTGATTTTAATTTAGTTCATGGAAGTTGCCCTTATAGTTGGAATGGTTGATTAGTTAGAAGACATGAATAAGTTCAGCCCTACCAGTAGGTAAAAGCAGTTGCTAACTATGTGATTTGATTTTAAAGATGTTGAACCATTCACCCATGTGCAAAAACTTTATTCAGTAGTATAGTTTTGAATGTTATTTATATTATAAAACAACTTTTAAAATGCAAGCACTTTATTGAAAGATTTAACACATTAACACGAGCTATTTTAGTCAATATTCTAGACACACATTCAATGAATACCTAATTATAACTGTAATAATGGCAGTAACCTTTCCCAAAGGTATTTTGTGCCTGGCAATGTGCTAAGCAATGAAAGCAGAATTTCATTTATTGCTTTTAATAATCCTATAAGATATTATAAAACTAATTCTGAAATACCAATTTTGAACTGTGCTTGTTGCTGGAAAGGCTATAACAAAAGCAATCAAATGCCTTCTTTTCTAGAGCTTACTTATATTCTAATACATGGAAATAGACTAATAAACAAATTAACAATTGACACAAGGGAGTGGTAAGTTCTGTGAAGAAAATCAAGAACAGTCATGCGATAGAATTTGAGGACCTCATTTAAATCAGATTGTCAGGGAAGGAACTCTTAAGGAGATGAGCTGAGGCGTGAATAGAAAAGGATCAGCTTTGTGCACACTCAGAGTAACATATTTCAAGTGATGCCAACAACTAGGGCAAAAGCAGTAAGGAGGGAACTATCTTTGCATGACTGTGAAGCTGAAATGAGAATAGAATAGAAGACGGATTGCTGGGTTCCGGCCAGATCTGGCGGGGCTTTGTAGGGTGTGATAAAAGTTGGGATTTCATTCTATGGACAATGAAAAGCATATTGAAAGGAGAGTAATCAGATTCACCTTTTTTAAGAATTACACTGACTACTGTGGGAAAATTATCAGGGGGTGGAACGTAGAGGAAGCAGGAAGACCAGTTCAGAGACAACCAAGTGCTCCATGTGAGATCATGTAGCAGGAACCTAGGAGTCATAGGAGGTGATGGAGAGGGAAGTAGAAACAATCAGGGTCTGTGCTGGATCTAGAGCCAACAAAATTGGTTATTGGATTATAGGGCAGAAGGCAGAGCAAGATCAAGGATATAGAGTAGATTTTTGGCTATAAAATGTAAGCAGATTGTGGAGCTACTTAATGAGATAAGATTTGGTTTAGGGGACAATCACTTTTGGACATTTTGAATTCGAGATAGCTATTAAATATACAATTAGGAATGTCAATCATGTAGACAAGTTGGTATATGATAATAGTTCTGATGACAGGTCATGCCAGGAGATATAAATTTAGGAGTCACTGTCATATTGATAACACTTAGGGAGAGACTACAGTTAGAAAAAATATGGCAGAAATTTGGAATACTTAACATTTAGAGATTGGGCAGATGAGGAGGAATATGACAGGGATAAAAAGAGGAAGGGTGATTTCACAGATGTCATGGTGGGGAAGAATGTTTCCAAAGGGTGGGAGCTGTTAACTATGTCATATACTAATGAGAGATACAGTAAATCATGTCAGTAAGGTGACCACTGTGGGAGGGAGATATGACATTCGAGAGAGAGTATGAAGGGATTAAGTAGAGTGACTATAGATTATATTTGTGAGGAGTTTTGCTCTGAAGTGGAGTGAAGAGATGGATAGTGCCTTTAGGAGGTGGTAGGCTTGAGGGAGGTGTTATTGTTTGTTTCATTTATTTTTGTTGTTTCATTTTTGAACATGAGAGATAACCACAACTTTTAGAAATAAAGCAGTAAAAGAGACACAGCAATGATGCAGAAGAGAGAATAGAAAATTGCAGGAATGCAATCCTTTGAGGAGGCAAGAACACACAGGATCCAGTATACAAATGAATGGGCACAGACAATTGAATCTTGGTAAGTTGAGCAAAGGCAGAGAGAACAGGTCTGGATGCTGATATATTAGTCAATTTGAGCTGCAGAGACGATAAGTGTAAGTAAAGGTCATCAGAGTATGAAGGCTTGGAGGAACAAGTATTGAGGATTTCAAAACAGGGAAAAAGGTGGAAAATGGTTATCTCAGATTGTAGAAAAGAAGTCATAATATACATGACATTATGATTGCTGAGTACTGTGGACTGACCATTTGAGACTGGTTGTCATGAATTTAAAGTGAAACTAACCAACACAATCATGTTTGTTTTTCTCCCCATGGTTGATTGCTCAGTTGCTGGCTTGGGGTAGGCAGATAGCTGGGTTTTATTCAGTTTGATGTTTTTCCAGGGAAGAACGGGTCAGGGGGATTAATAGTTTTTGCAAAGGAGTGATTAAAAAGAAAACCCATGGATCTAAGCTACCTATGGAAGAAAAAAATGGGCATGGGGCAGAGTGGTGATGGATAACAGAAAAATAGTAAGGCCAGTGGGCTGCATTATTATCCCAATTTTACAGAGAGAACACTGAGGCTTAGAGAGATGAGATAATATGCCCCAGTGTCACACAGAGAAGGGCTGAGTAGCAGCACAGGGACTTGAGCCCCAGCCAGGGCTGTTGGTCATTTGGACACAATGTTTCGGATAGGGCCCAATGCTAAGGGAAGGGATGCAAATCAGAATACAAAAATAAGCCTTGCATTCAAGTGGCTTAGGTTCTCAGTGGGAATTTTTCCCAGACAAAGGTAAGGTCTAGATCAGCAGCTAGGAGACATCAGAACTGTTGGTGGAAACTGAAAGTTTTGGTTCTAAAATGTGCTGAGAAAGGAGAGCTAGAAGAGGAACCAAAATAACACATTTCCCTGACTTTTCGGTTTTTTTCCTGTAGTGAACCTACATGGAAGATTCTGTACCTCAAGCTATGTATTTCTCCCCATGGGACTTAAAAAGCACATCAGCGGGACAGCAGGTTTTTAAGAGAGCACAACTGATACCTCAATAAACTTCAGTAGACAACCTTAAAAACTTAGGGTATTTTTGAATGTAATTCTGACTTTTCTTCAATTCCAAGTTATATAATATATTTGTTATTAAAAGTTTTAAATGGGAAAATTGAGATCCACTGAAAAGGGCCTTACCTCATCCCTCAAGGGTTGTTGGCCAAAAAAACAAACAAACAAAACAAAAAACAAACAAAAAAGCCGACCTCTGATTATTTAGCAACAGAGTTCTGCAACCATTAGGAAATTTGTATTAAATTCAGAGAAAATGCAAGTCATAAAACTGAGCATACATTTTATAATCAGTCATTATTAACTTAAATAGTAAATAAAACTAAACCAAATATATATTAGTTAAGTATAGAATAGATGTCAGATAATAGTGTAACTGTGTGTGTGTGTGTGTGTGTATATATATATATATTTTTTTTTTTTTTTTTTTGAGGCAGAGTCTCGCTCTGTCACCCAGGGTGGAGTGCAGTGGTGTGATCTTGACTCAGTGCAACCTCTGCCTCCTGGGTTCAAGTGATTCTCCTGCCTTAGCCTCCCGAGTAGCTGGAATACAGGTGAGTGCCACCACCCTAGCTAATTTTTTGTATTTTTAATAGAGATGGGTTTTCACCATGTTAGCTAGGAAGGTCTCAATCTACTGACCTCGTGATCTGCCACCTCGGCCTCCCATAGTGCTGGGATTACAGGTGTGAGCCACCATGTCTGGCCAATCTGAGTATATTTTAAGATATAACTTCTTTAGATACTAAACTGAATCTGATATATTTTTATCTGGAAGTTATTTTAGTTTAATCTCATCAAATGTCCACCAGCATCATACAATCTTAATATATGTACTCAATAACACTCAACAATGAAACCCACTTATTTCATTTATTATGTTGTTCTTTCACATAGAAAATGATAGCCTCCATTAGTTTTCCAAAGCTGTTCAAAACATTACCCAGTCTACTGGAAAACTCTATGTAAAACTGACAGAATCTAAGAGCATCATCTTCACGTTTCCCTAGCATTTTGTATAAAGTGTATGTTGCATACAAATGGATTTGTCAGATACATTGAGAAGTATGTTAATAGTAGGAAAAAGAAAGTATTAAGGAACAATTCTGTATCTTCAGAAAATTAACTTAAGAACATATTATGTATCTAATCTTAATGCAACTGGTGGAAATTACCGTGTCTTCTACAAATAACTTTGTTCCAGGGTAAACAGTAAGAAATTTCACTTTCTTTTTTTTGTAGTAATGCAAGGTCCTCTTATCTAAACATTTCTCATCTTTCAGAGGAGTCTACTTGACAGACCATTTTGTGTTTTAGCTGAGAGGCAGTAGCTATTAACTAGATTGCTGTCTATTTTATTTTTATGTGGATAAAGTTGAAGAGACTCACACAAAAGGGATTTATATGTCAAGAAATGCCTTATACTAACTTTAAACAAAATTGATATCTTTTTAAAATATGAAGCTGACTGTAGATTTTTATCTTTTATGCATAGATAAGTCTAAATGTTGCAAAGAATATATATTTCCATGTCCATGACTACAGTATCAACATGTATTTCTCTAGAGATGCCTATATTTCAATATTTCCAAGTTGGGTTTTGTTTTCTTATACTTCAAAGAAAGGAAAATACATTTGTGTTTCTTTTCAATGCCAATACAGATAATTCCCTTGATGAAATCAAATATAATGGCATTTAAAGAAAACGTTGTTAGTAAAAAAATAAAAATAAAAAATAAAAAATCCAGATGCTCTCTTAATTTGGAAGGTTTATCAGAGAAAAGTCAATGAAGAATTTAAAGGTTATTTCCGTTACAATCTTGGATTATTTCTTTCATTAATTAGTTTGTTTGTTTAATGATAAATATTCATTGAATATATGCTGTGTAGGAGTCACTTTCTAAACACTTCAGCTCCGTAAGAGTCTTCCAAATTATTTGTCAGCCAAAAAACCTCAGCACTTCTATGAATGTCAGCAATCAGTGAGCAACTGGCATATGATAACACCTGGGCTTGCGTAGAGTTTCTGCTCTTCCATGGGGAATTAACTTCTCTACCTATGATAAAGGTAGCAGACACTTTCCCCTTGTCTGTCATTTAGAGAAGGTTGGGCATTTTCTGACTATACTTAACTTTGATAATAGTCAAGGATTTCGGGGTTTATGAGATAAGAGGTCTATGAAGCTGAACCTTGGAGAAAGGAAAAGTTGAGGGGCCCCAATTAAAGTTCTCAAACTTTAAGGAACATAACAATACCTTAAACCAGTTACTTGTTTAAAATGCCAAAGATTTTTCCCTATTCCCCTAACACACACTCTTCTAGTGCATTATTAGTTGCAGTGTTATCTGACATTTCTTCTATACTTAACTAATTTATGTTCAATTGTTTTATATTTCTTTATTATTTAAATTAATAATGCTTGGTTGAAAATGTATGTCCAGCATTATGACTTGTATTTTCTCTGAGTATAATATACATTTCCTAATGGTTCCAGACCACTGTTGCTACTTCTGATTCAGTAGGTCTTTAAGCCAGAAACTTAGTGTTTTCAAATTGTAGTCCAAATAGTATAAAGGGAGATGATCTACAGATCCCACTATAATAAAGTCTAATTAAATAAAAGGTTTCCACACTTTTGTAATGGAATAAAATCTTTTAAAAACAAAGATTTATGTGACATCCTGGTATAATATGCAAAGGCAAAGTTATGCAAAAACACAGATTGGTCTCCTTGGGATGAGGGTAATGGGGTACTGGAGCCAGGTTGTACTGTCTTGCAAGAATCAATTGTTAATGTTTTAAGAATTTTGTGAGCCCTATGTTAAACACAGCAATTATTAAAAATTCAGTTACATAGCCTTATAATTAAACAAATTATATTAAAGGCAAATGTATCAAATATGTTACATGTAACAGTTCCTCATTCTTTTACTACATTTTACTATTATCTATGCCCTTTAGGTTATTCATATCGTATCTGTGGGGTGAAAATACACATCTCCTCCCAGCTCTGTTTTCAGTGACATTATGCTGGCAGCTTGAAATTGGCCTTCTTCGGTGTATTTGCACCACAGAACTCAGCAAATGCTACAAATTAAAGATTTTTTCACCTACAGAGCCAGATTTTGAACATTTAATAGCTTACTTCTAGAGAAGGGCGGATGCTAGGATTGCCAGTTTCTAAGCATCTCTCTCAATTCCCTCTGTAGGCTCTAGGACACCACAGGAAAAAAAAATGTAGTTTAAAGAAAGGAAAAAAGCTGACTTAATTATATTGTGGCTGTGAACATGCAAAGGTAAAAAGAAGAAATCAAAAGAAAGGTCAAATTCTTTAGCATGAACACATACATCTTACAAATTTGGTTATGAGACTATAAGCCTTTATTTTCTTCCAATTCCTTGGAAAAATAACAATAGACTAGATCCAAATAATTATTCTACCTGGCTATCTTGTTTTGCAAGCTCCTTTACATGAAGATGATTACAAAGATGAGGCTGTATAATCTGTGTATAAGTATCTCCAGATTACATCTTTATTGTTTAGCTCAGAAAATGGTTCCTCCATCTTCATTGTTATTGATGAATGAGAGACACCTCTGCACCTTCTGTGAAATACAAGTGATCATCTTGCACAACAGTACCACATTTAGCATTTACTTTGGCAAATTTAATTATAGACATTTATCCTGCTTACTGTCTATAAACTATGCTTTTATCTGTAACACTAACATATAATTTGATATACCCCCAAAGTAGAAGAATTGCACAGTGCCTTTAATAATATCTTTGCAATGAATATAAATAATTTCATTAGTGATGGATTATTTCAGCCTTTCAAAAATGAAATGATCAGAATTTTTTAATGTTTGTTAGAAAACAAAGTTCTCTTTCCTTAAGGGACTCCAGCGTATCATTTTAAATAATAATGTGTATAGTCTTGTGTCTGTCATTCAGCTATTTATTCATGAATTTAATTTTCTTGATTCATTTAGTCAACAGCTATTATGTAACTATTGTTTAAAAATTAGATACTGATATTCCTTAAGAAGCCTTATTTTTAAATAATCTGAAATTTAAATCATCAAAGTAAGGTGTCTAAATTGTAGTATAATAGGCTAATTAGACCAGTTAGTAATTTTTTCCCTTACTTTGAATTATATGTAAAGGGAGCAAATGCTGGCCTTAAGAATTTTCACTTCAAAGTTATAAAGTATTTACAAATTCCATAGATGGAGATTCAATTTAGAATACTAGATGAAAACTGTGTTTCAATCATTCACCTGTATGATTGATTTTTCTCTATAGTTGATAGTAAATTCAGTGATTTTTTGGAAATATGTATGTGAAGGAAGGATGTAAGTCTGTGACATCATGCAGTTTGAAGTCTACTTTTCCTTGGGGTATTATGCAGATATGTAGATTTGCCTATTATTTTCTTTAATAAAATTGGTGTTTTTTTTTCTGAGACTATTTTCCAGGAATGTAGTTTTGATCTTAGAATTGATTTTTTCCTCCAGACTGAGGAGGACGCAGATGTCAAGAAGTTTCCTATGGGATATGGCTTGACAGAGGGACACACAACAGGAGTCGGAGGTTACAATAAGAAAATATACTTACTCTATGACATGTGGGTCTTGTAAGGAACTGACATTGATGGGAAGTGATGCTTTTTAGCCAAAGGAAGAAGTATCTATCATGCTGTCACATCAGATTCGGTTCAAACTAAGCAAACATTTGTGTTATGGTACTATTCTTGGGAAATATATTTCTGAATGTGCTCTTGGCTCTTTAGATGAAAAGTCATAAATGATCATAAAATACATAAAATGGTACCTGTCATAATAAGCAAATGATAAAATAAATTTATGCTTATTATAACTATCAACATCTGTATGTGTAAAATAGATAATAAAGCAAGTGTCTGAACAATGCAGCACATACTAGCTTCACCTAATGCAAGCAATCAGCTATTCTTTGCCTGTCTTTGCAGAAGATTGTGACCAATGATATAATGAGTTTGAGGAGGCTGTTTTTATGATTAATTCATAAATAAGTTAATCTAGACTTATTTCAGGTCTGGGTTTTACATTTGATGACTCATTTTCAGAGCCCAGAAAATAATATTTAAGGGAGTATTAATTGGATTGAAACTTTTAACTGTGTGGGTGTTACACAAATTCTATTTAATCCTCAGTGTGTTAGATTAATTTTCCAGTATTAACAATTTTAATTCATTCTACCTTTATCAGTCTTCAGCCTCTTCTTATCGCATGCACAACAGAAAAACAGAATCACCAAAAATGTATCTTTAGACTGTAATTCTTATTTTGCTGACTCAAAATATGTGCCAAAAGACTGATAAAAGTCTGATTTTCCAATAGTTCATTTGACGTTTGAGTCCTTTTACGTCATCTTCAAGCTCATGCTTGAACTTTTCTAATGACAGGGATATTTTTGTCTTTAAGCAACCATTTTTGTCATATGTAGGTCTAACTTTCAGAAATGTATATTCAAAGTTCTGTCCCTCTATAACGTCTGCTCATTTGTCATAATTGTTTCCCCTGGGACTATAAATACATCTCATGAGTTTAGTGACTTTCTCTTGCGGCATGACTTTTAATATTTGGGGATGTCTGTCAAGGGCCCCCCTCCCCCTTCTCTCCACCAATGCTTCTCTTCTCCAAGTAAAATATTCTTAGTTTCTACAAATATTTCTCTTTGCTTGTCAGCTCCCTACTTGACTTGTCATCCTCCTCTGCATAGTTGCAAATGTCATGTGACTATTAGACATCCCTTAAGAGTACCTCTCTCATCTTAAGCACAGCATTATTATTCAGATGTGCTACAATCACATTGATGTTGTGGGTGGTCACATTATCTTATGGACTTATTATGGATCTGATTTTCCATGAAAACCTATAAGTATTTCATGAATGATGCTGACAAACTGCATGTCTTTCATTCTCTTCATGCCAGGCTCTGTCTGACTCACATGCAAGACCTCTTCATGTATCTTTGTTACATTTTATCTTACATTAACCCCACTGCTACAACCTCTCAGGGTACCTTGTGTCTTCATGCACTTATTCAACATCAATAAATGAAGGTTAGTTGTACACCTGGAATGTGTCCGGCTAAATCGAAAATGCTAATTCTGTGGCTCAATTATTTGACACACCATTCCAGCAATCTTCTCTACCACTTTATTTCATCCACCATACCCAGGCCATATTTTAATCTTGTTTTCTTCTCCTCGAAGCGACTTTCACTAAAAACCTTAAACTTCAAAACCATCCTATATGACAGCCCCTGTGTTCATCTGAATCTCTAATGTCTCCGCTCTCAATAAACTGATTAGCTGATAAGCCTCATAAACACTTTCAACTTGCTCCTTTCTTTTTTTTTTTTCCCCAGGTATTATTATTCTTATTTTCTCACTCTCCTTTTAAAACTGGACCTTGTGGTTGATCAAGTGACTAACCATATTCTGCACCCTCAAGATTTATTTTATTTTTGCCTTTATACTATCATCATTTATCTCATATAGTCCTGATGAACTACCTTGCCTGTTCTTAAGGTCAAGCTAATCAGTGCTATGGGAGAAAATCCTATAATGGCTGAAAAGCATAGATATGAATGACCCTAAAAAAGCCACTAAACCTTTCTACATGTTGACGTTCTCCCGTTCTTTACATGTGTCATCATACCAGTTATTAATCCAATTCACCTGTAGTGTCCTCCCTATTTCTTCATGTAATTCACAAAAATAATTCAAATATTCTGCTTTACCCCAAAATACACATTTTTTTGCCTATATCCAAAAGGTCAAGTAATATGCAGGGATAGATCTAGCTCATTTTCATTCAAACTAAAATCATATCAAGAAACAGTTTTCAGTCTTTCTATACACTTTTTCCCTAGAATATTTGAAGCCGATTTTTTTAGGTAATTATTCCAGGTTTCCTTTTCATCTTATTTCCTGCGGTTTCAAGGTCAACATATTTATCATATTTTCATTCAAAGCCATAACAAAAATGAGTGATAAACAGAAAAATGATTTTCCTGCTTGACTTCCTGTTTATTCTGCTAAACTATAATCTGATTTTACTTAAAACTCTTCCGAGTTACCTTTGTGAATAATTCACCAAGCATGTGAACCACTGCTTATATAACTTCATGATTGTTATAAACACCTTTTTTATGTGGCATAGTTCAAGGCTCGAACCAAAAGTGAGATACAGGAATGAAGCAAATATGTTTGTCACTCTTTCTCATCTCAAAATGTATTGGCCAGGCCAGGTACAGTGGCTCAAGCCTGTAATCCCAGCACTTTGGGAGGCCGAGTTGGGTGGATCACCTGCGGTCAGGAGTTTTATATCAGCCTGGCCAACATGGTGAAACCTTGTCACTACTAAAAATACAAAAATTAGGACCAGGCGCAGTGGCTCATGCCTGTAGTCCCAGCACTTTGGGAGGCCGAGGAGGGCAGATCACCTGAGGTTGGGAGTTCGAGACCAGCCTGACCAACATGGAGAAACACCATCTCTACTAAAAATACAAAATTATCTGGGCATGGTGAGGCATGCCTGTAATCCCAGCTACTCTGGAGGCTGAGGCAGGAGAATCGCTTGAACCTGGGAGGCGGAGGTTGCAGTGAACTGAAATCGCACCATCGCACTCCAGCCTAGGCAACAAGAGTGAAACTCCATCTCAAAATAAAATGAAATAAAAAATACAAAAATTAGCCGGGCGTGGTGTTGGTCACCTGTAGTTCCAGCTACTCGGGAGGCTGAGCCAGGAGAATCGCTTGAACCCAGGAGGCAGAGGTTGCAGTGCGTAAGATCACACCACTGCACTCCAGCCTGGGCGATAGAGTAAGACCCTGTCTCAAATTAAAAAAATAAATAAATAAATAAATAAAATATTGGCCAGTCAGGTTTTTTTCTGCTTCAAGACCCCAGATATCACTCAACCCCTGGCCCAGTGTCTCACACAAGTCATAAGTAGGCCCTGTGAAAACCCTCACTCTCTTAAACAGTGACTTAGGGTCACGTGTTTAAAAGAAAATTAGTTATAAAATCACCCAAGCCCCTCATTTTCAAGACTGTGTAAAATATAGGCACATCCAAATCCCTTGGCAATTTAGTGACAAACCTGAAATCTGACTCCAGTTTTTTACCTAAACCAGTGCTTACTCTGGATTATATCAAAAGAAAACACTGAGGAACACACATGTGGATTCTCAGTGAAGTGATAATGCCTTTTAATAGCTAGATCTCTTGAAGAAGTAACAATTTGTTCTGTAATTATTGATTTAAAGCTGAAGCTTTTGATGACTAGATGGTTTGTTCCTTTCTTCTTCTCTTCCTCCTTGTAAATATATTCATTTTATCACTTACACAAGACAAATATGTGTCACAAACGGACAGTCATATAATTTTTGTTTGAAAAACCTCATGAGGATGGGTGCCCTCTAGATAGCCAATTTCCATTCTTTTCATTCTAATGTTAATGATGTTATTTAAAGTTATTGGATACACAGCATCAAATGTCATTATTTCAAATGACTTCATGACACAGGGTTCATTGTGTAAGGAATATCAAGTAGAGGTTCTCAGGTGTTGTCCCTTTAAAATGCAAGGGGAGAAATGCAATTGCTATTTTTTATTTAGTTACCTAATGCCTGCCCATCATGTCTTTTTGAATTTGGCCCAATAACTTATAATTAAAAGACTCATTATCCCTGCTGGATGTGGGCACAAATTCACATTATTTCCATGGAAGCCTGTCTGCTGTCTCACTTTAATGAAAATTTAAACCCTTTAGAATGACATGTGATGCTTGGAATTATTTATCTTTTGTCTGAGTAGAGTTACAAGAAGAAAGAACTCCTAGAAAAATAAGTCACTATTTCTTTCTGCAGATTCTTGTCTTCCAAGTAAGCATTCTTTTTTGTTTGTTTCTGGAAAGATTGACAGAGAAAACTATGAAAGTATCAGTTAGAGCAGAAAAAAATTATGGACTCTCCCACCTGTGCACTTTTGACCTGGTATTTGGCTATCTTTTGTACATGTAGTAAAATATACATAACACAACATTTACCATTTCAACTGTTTTTAAGTGTACAATTCATTGACGTTAAGTATATTCATAGTTTTGTAACCATCAACATCATCCATCTCCAGAACTTTTTCATCATCTCAAACAGAAACTCTACACCTCTTTAACAATACATCGCCGTTCCCCTCTTCCCTAAGAAACTGGTAACCACTATTCTACTTTCTGTCTCTGAATTTGCCTATTCCAAGCACTTCAAACAAATGGAATTACACAATATTTGTCCTTTGGTGTCTGGCTTATTTTGACATGTTTCTGAGATCCATGCATGGTATTTAATATTATGGTAAATTTTTTGTTAAGTATAATTCCATTGAATGGATACACCAAAGCATCTTTGATGAATATTGGATTGTTTCCATTTCAAGGATATTACAGATAAAACTGCTGCCACACTGTTGGAAAAGGCTTTACTGGACATAAACTTTGTCTCGTGTAGATATTTAGAAGTAAAACTACTGAATCAGAATTTAGATGTATGTCTTACTTAATTAGAAATAATTTTCCTAAATGATTATAACATTTTGTATTCGCAACAGAGGTATATGGAAATTCCAGTTGTCCAATCCCAACCAACACATGGAATTTGTTGACATCTTAATTTTAGCAAATCTAATAGGTATACAGTTACATCACCTTGTGGCTTTAATTTGTATTTCTCTAATAACTAAAAGTGTTGAATATTTTTTCATATATTTGACCATTTGAAGATTCTTTTTTGCACATTACTTTAGGTTGAATTGTTAATCTTCTAAATTATCAATGTGTAGAAATTCTTTACACATTTTAGGAAAACATTTTAATTATATTTTGGTATTGTTAACATTTTCTACAAATTGGAGGCTTACCTCTGTAAGTTGGAGGCTTTGGTATTGTTAGTATTTTATACAAATTGGCGGCTTACCTTTTTACTTTTTTAATGCTGTCTTTTGATGAGCAGATGCTGTTTTTATTTTGTTAAAGTCAGAGTTATTGATTTTGACCTTTTATGATCTACTTAAGAAAGTTTTGTTTACCCCAAGGTATAAAGATATTCTTCTATGTTTTACTAGCTTTTACATTTAGGTCTGTGATACACCTTGAATTAATTTTTGTGTATAGATTAAGGAAGGGGCCAAGGTTATTTATATAGGTATCCAGTTTTGTCGGCACCATTTATTAAAAGAGTTCTCTTTCCTCATTGAATTATTTAGTGCCTTTCTTGAAAACAGTTGACCATATATGTATGCACATTTGTGTCTATTTCTGGATCTTATTCTGTTCCATTGATCTATTTGTTTATCCCTATGGTAGTACCATGTGGTCTTATTTGCTATATCTTTATAGCTCATCTTGAAATCAAGCAGTATTAAGTACTCTAATATGGTTCTTTTTTTTCCAAAATGGAATGTAACTATTTATATATGTTTAAAACCGTTACTCTCCACAAATATATATATATTATATATTCTACTGAGAGTACAGATCTTTATATATATGATCATTATATGTATGATGAGATCATTATATGTATGATCTGGACACCCAGTAGAATCTAGCTCATTAGATTGTCCTTCACAGTTAAACAATGCAAAGCCTATAGAAGAACATTATGCTAAATATGTGGGTGTGTGGGTGACTGAGATAAAATAGAAAAAAAGGCTAAATGTTTTTGGGGTACCTGCTATCTGCCAGTATTCTGCAAAGTGTTTTATATATCTTGGCATATTTGAATTTAATTTTCACAAAAATTCTGTGAAGTAGTTATTGTCTCCATTAGTGGATGAACAAAGTAAGGGTTAGAGAAGTAATTTGTTCAAAATATTTAACTCGAATTCCTTTCATCTTTGATGGTCACAGCCAATCAGTAGTCATATTGAGTGCTCATGCAGGGTGCCTGCTTTGTGGTTGACAGCTGGATTTTCAGCTAGTGACAGGTTTGCTATATTAACCTAGTCAGTTGTCACACTGACTAAACATACAATTTAGAGCGTAGTTTTAATAATTCTGTGACAACTCAGTATACCTTCCATAAAAAAATGCATCTAAAAGTACATTATTTATAAGTGAGTTCTTGTGAAAGAAATCAAATTATAATTCCCATTGTTTTACAAAATCATTATTGAGTATACAAAGTTAAATAAAAATAACATTTATTTCATCAAAAAATGTCTGACAAACCGAGCTGCTGGCATTAAGCATTACTAGTTGTGAAATTATGTGTTAGTCACAAAATCAATTTAAATAAACAACTAGATTATCATCTTGCCACCCCTGAAAACAAAGACCTTAGCACAGAATCAGATTTAATCTTCAAATCTATTACTTACCAAGAAAACCTAAGAACACAATTTGTTTGAAACCTTTAAACCTATTACTTTCTAAAAGAATCTCATGGAGCACTGTGCTTGACCTTCACAGGATAAACTTTGTAGATGTCAGGGGTTCAAAGCAATTTGTTTCTTATATTCCTTGAATTTATCTACTATATGTTGCTGATTATTTCCTTCATGACAGCTGTTTTTACTTATGACACACAGAAATGCATTACATTTTGGAGAATTGCACTTGATTCTACTCTTCCAATAGATATTCTAATTTATTATCTGATACGTAGTGTTGGGTTCTAGGTGAATCATGACTCCTAGAATTATTCAATGTGAACACTTTATTGATGATAGATGTTACATTAACATATGGTAGTTGTGTTCCATAAGACTGTAACTATTTTAGAAATATGTTCACAATGAGACATTAATCTTTTAGTTATGCATATTAATCCTTATAAAGTTTTATGATATACACAGAATTGAAATATTTCCATTTTCATTTAAGATGAAGAAACAAAGAATCAGAGATATTGATATTTGTCCAAGCACTCACACATTTCAGGGGTCCCTTTTTCTTATAAGCTTTTTGTGTCCAAGCTCTTATAAGCCTTATGTGTCCAAGCTCTCACACATTTCAGGGGTCCCTTTACTTAGAAGCCTTATAATACTAGTAAACACTGAAAATGTAAAGATATATGAGAAGTATGAGAAGTATCATTGCAACTAAGGAACTCAGAGCCTAGAGGACTGAGACAAGCAGCCAAACATGTAAAAGTGAAATTGAAAAATGCTGTCATACAGGTATACTAAGAGGAGAGGAGAACCTCATTGTATGGGTAAATTTTCCTACATAAAGTGAACCCAGAGCAATCAGACAGCTAATATTTATTGAAAGGAACAATGTCTGTTATGTGTCATGTAAATTAGCCATACCTAGTATTATTTAACCTTCACAAAACTCCAGCAAACTATCGCAAGGACAAAAAACCAAACATCGCATGTTCTCACTCATAGGTGGGAATTGAGCAATGAGAACACCTGGACACAGGAAGGGGGACATCACACACCGGGGCCTGTTGTGGAGTGGGGGGAGGGGGGAGGGATAGCATTAGGAGATATACCTAATGTAAGTGACGAATTAATGGGTGCAGCACACCAACATGGCACGTGTATACATATGTAACTAACCTGCACGTTGTGCACATGTACCCTAGAACTTAAAATATAATAATAATAAAAATAAATAAATAAAAAATAAAAATGAAAAAAAAAAAACTCCAGCAAAGTCCATTACTGTTCTCCATTTTATAGTTACAGAAACTGGAGGGAAGAAAAACCTAAAGAATAGAAAAGATGAAATAACCCTTTATGGTTCCTCCCAGGTAGATCATTTTGGGGTTTTTCAAACCACAGAGTCACTGCACCATGAGTTACTTCAGTTTTCTTCCTTGTTTCCAGTTAATCATATTCTCTGCTCTAAGCTCTTTAGTGATAGCTCATGTCACAAAAGGCCAGGATGAGAGATGATGGTTGTGCTGATAGGTGAGTGAATTCACGGAGCAGAGACAGAAATGAGGGAGAACGCACCCAGAGAAAGGTGCACAGGGGCTTACATCACTGGGCCCTTTGATTGGTGTTTTTGACATGAACACAAAGAAAAATATTTGAAAATGTCAAACAAAACCTCACTGATTTTCTACCTTGAGTAGAAGAATTCAAATGTTTTGAATGCTTAATATTTGATCCCAGGAATCAGAGAATTGTGGGAAAAGACCTCCAATTTTTCTTGGTTTCAATTCAAGGGTGTTCAAAATGATATACAGTATTTTACATGGCCTATTCAAAAAATTATTTTATTTTGAATAACCAAGGGCTGATAATATAATTCATGCCTTTTATCTTAGCATGTAAAAGTGCTACATAAGTAGAATGGTAGCATAATACACATTTTAATCAGAACAAGGGCAGAGCAACGAAGGCAATGCTTTTTATTTTTGTTAGAGGAGAATGGTGAGAAAATATAAAAAAACATTTAGACATTCAAAATTCTAGTTCTAGAGTTAAAAAAAAAAAAAAAAAAAAAAAACAACAAAACACTTTTTCCCCAATGTGTAATATGCAATCAAAAGCACTCATGCCTCTACTGTTTTCCAGAAGAATAAATATGAAAGTTATAATTACTATGAAAGTTATAATTACTTTTATATTAGACTAGATTTTTTTCTGGAGATGTTTTTAAAAGGGGAAGAAAAATCAGATAAACTTATAGACATGCTCATATTTAAAAATAAATGAAAAAGCCACAAAAACAGTCAATAGCAAGCTTCCATCTTTACTCCTTACACTGAATATTTTCCCATTTCTGAGGCTGCCTCAATTCATCTTATGTCTTATCAAGAATTGTGGGATCAACAATCATCTCTGTGATTGTCATAGTTACAATAAATTTTATATATGAAAAGCAGAGGAATAAAAGCTACCAATCCTGGGTTTACCACTGGAAGGATCAGAAGGAGCTGTCCCCTGTTATCCAGGTAGGAATATTTGTAGACAATGTATTAAAAAGTGATCTTCAAGGCATAAAAGGTCTTGGTGTCAGACTCAATATTAAGTCCCTCTTTTCATTTGCTTGACTTTTTATAGCTAATTAACAATCTAGCCATTGTTTCCCTTATCTGTAAAATGAGACTAATACTAGGTTCCAACTCTCATGAGATTGTCGTTGGGACTAAATAAGATAATGCCTCTAAATGCACAGCACCTAGAAGAGGTTGTCATTATCATTTTTATCATTTAATATTTCCATTTTTCTCTGAGGCTATGGCTACACTCACAAACTGGCTTGTCAGATTCTATTTTTAAAAAGATTGCATTTAGTTGATCCATTTTTCAGATATTTGTAATAGTTACAGATAACATTTTCACTTTTAGAGAGTCTTGTTGTACTGTTTGCATATTGTTTAAATGCATAGAAGTATTGTTAGGGCACTAGCCTATGCTCTTGGTGCAGAAGAGCCACTGAAATGTGCTGGGGAGTTGGAAAGTCCTCAGCAATATTACTTACCTTCTTGGTAACCGAGATCTTTGAGCTTCTGAAAGGACCTTAGTTCCCATAAACAATTTGACCCTGAGGCTGGGAAGTAATGTTATTCCAGGAGAATGGATGAGAGTGATCAAAGGCAGAGAGATGAGGAGGTGTAAGGTGAAGTCTAAAGGTGGGGCTTGAGAAGGTGGCTTGGTATCTTAAATTTGTGACTGTCAAGGGCTAGGCTAAGCTGGAGAAATCTGATCTGCTTCAGGTCAGAGTAGCCATTAGCTGATCAAGAAAACAAGCCGAGATGAAAGTGACAGTCAAGCCTTTAATCACTGAACTGCAATTGTACAAGGAAGAGGTTAACCAGAGAACACACCCATTCTCCCCAGTCCTGCTTTCCCCCACGGAGCAGCACCTGTGGAGGGTCAAGTGGACCAACATAGACAAGGGGTTGTCTCCCTGATGAGGGAGCTCTGAACCAAAGCTTCCCGCAGTTTCATGGTCCCTGGGGCTGGAGAGGTGGAGAGGAAAGAGCTAAGAATGGGAAATTACTGCACACTGAGAGTGGAGAAAAGTGTCTTCAAGGTTTTCTTCTGCTTCCGCCATAAAGAGAACCAGGCAGAGGTACCTCTGCTTGAAGGCCCAGACAAAGAACCTCTGAATGATGGTGCCTGGGCTGGAAATACAGATGTGCATAAGAGCATGGCCAGCCAGGGCGAATGAGTCCTTGCCTGCAACTTCCTTTGGAGGTTGCAGTGGCTGCGCACTAAGTCTGGTATGGGGAAGGCAGGTTCCCTCTGTGTGATCTGCCAGGCAAAGCCTTTTTGACTGACCATGGCCAGGTCTGGAAAATCACACATGGAGTTTTAGCTAGAAGCCAGACTCCTCAATAGAAGGTAGTCCTATAGATCTCCAGTAATAGTATTCAATCAGGCAAAGAGGAAGTCAAATTGTCCCTGTTTGCAGATGACATGATTTTATATTTAGAAAACCCCATAGTCTCAGCTCAAAATCTCCTTAAGAAGAGGACTTCTTAAAGCATGCGCAGTCTTTTTAAAAAGTTTTCCTGCTTCTCTTTAGTTGCAACAAAATTTTTCAAACAGGGAAGAAATGGTGGGCTTGTAGTAAAGAACAAACAGGAAGACTGAGTCTTAATCAATCACTGGTAACAAAGGGAAACTACAGCAGCTGCAAATTTCAAGGGAAGACAAGTGTGTTAAAACATTTGATTTAGAAAGTAAAGGAGAGCTAATTGGCTAGTGTAGACCTGTAAACAACCTACAAAAAGACCTATATGCTTAATGATATAAGTTTCCAATGGGACAGCCAGGAAGATATTACTTTGTAGTTGTTCTAATTTGCATTTAGGACTAAATGAATTGGCATACATAAAACACCTAACACATTATCTGAAACATAGTATTTGTTCAATCGATATCTGCTCCATTTTCCCAAGTAAGTTGAAGAGGGGGTAAATATACAAAATGACCTACTCAGTGACTATATATTAGATACCTACTACTGTAAGCTTTCTTCATGATAAGGTAAGGCCATTGCCTGTAAAGAGTATTTATTCTTATTGGGGACATAGAAAATGAAATTTAACCCTATCATGATAGTATCTAAGAACCAAATAAATGCAAGAAAGTAATAGGATACCACTGTCAATGACAACCTGTTGTTGGCATTAAGAGTTTACACATCTCTACAAAATATGCTGGACAGGCCTGATACACACCATGGGTCAGTTTTCCAAAAAAAATGTGCCAGTATCACATTATCCAATCTTTCACATACTTTTTATAGGCACTGAATAAAAGTATCCTTATCCTCCCTAGGGGATAAAGGTGTCCAGACCTATGATGACAAGTAGGTGTGTGTGTGTGTGTGTGTGTGTGTGTGTGTTTGTGCATCTGGCCAGTGAACTTGCAGGGTGCAAGCTCTCACTTGTCAGTGCTCATTTTGAGATATGGCAGTACCATAAGTGGTAGGTGAGAGGACCCCAAAGCTATAAAAGTTGTCTGATTATGATTCAAGAAGGAACATTTTTAACATGTTGAACTGATGTGACTCAAAGCTGTGAGCATTTCTGGATTGAAAAGAAAAGCAGAATGATGAGAAAACAGTCCTATTTTGGTTTATGTGGCATAGATGCTGGCAAGGAAGGAAATGTCGCTTGAGCTATCAAGGAGTCGGGTCCTCATTAGGAGTGTGAAGACAACATCTGACTGTATTGTGGATTTTCTGGGGGAAGAAAGTAAACACCTCTTTCTTAAAGAAGAAGAATCATGTAGCACAGCTGGGAAGACACTTCAAAAGTGACCATTGAGAAACATATCAATCCAAACCCTGAGAGTTCAGGAAGGAATTGGTGCTTGGCTGCTGTCTTTAGCAATCACGTTTTAAGGATCTCCTTGTGCCAGACATTGAAAATCATTTCAAAGGCTTACCAAGGAGACAAGTATTATTCTCTAACCCACCAGAGGCTAACAAATGAGATGAGGCAGGGACTAGTTGCCTCTTTGTTTCTGAACTGTTCACAGTAGCTTCCATATTAGTTTAATCAAAGGATGTAAACTTGGCAAACTCAGAGTGCTCTCTGGGAAGAAGAATAATTTGCTGGCAGATTATGTGGTTTAAGAAGCTGCAAGGAAACTTAATGCTGCTGAACGCTTGGAAACTATCATCAGGATTCAGGCTCTACCTCTGAGATTATCATGGAGTATTAACGACATAATGTTTGTATACAAAACAGGGTCACTCAACTGAAGTGAAGGGTTAAGAACAACAGATCTGACTCCCCGATTCAGCTGATTCCTCTGAAGAAATGGAAACATAAAAGTCTTCTCTTTCTTTTTATTAAATATTTTATAAACTCAACACACAAATCTTCTCGTTAGCCAAAAAAGCAAGCTTATGAACTGTCCTCAGAATTTAACTTGACAAATGCAATGCCCTAAAATTCTAAGCAATCATCAAAAGCAGCAGATAGGTTCCCAGATGATTATGAAAAATATGAGTTTGCTTCTGCATAATATACACAGTTTTGTATCATTAGATATCAGGCTATTATACTGCAGCAGATGTAACCAGATGTGACGGATTTTTCAATTCACTTTCTCTTGTCACACTGAGTTTTTTTCTTTCCACCATGGAAAACTGAATGTTCTTCACTGGAAGTTTGATACTTTATTATCTTAATTTCATTTTATAAATCTGAAAAATATTTCCCTTTAAAATAGGGATCACCTACAGAAGGGATGATGCTCTACTTCCAGTATGTTATTGCATGGACTTACAGTTAAAAACCAGTGATGGGGTTCCTTTTACCAAGTAGCTCCATGCAATCCTCAGGATAATTTTATAGGATTTGAACCAAGTGTCCTAGTACAGATATGTTTTGGTGATCTATTGTTATGGAACATACCACCTTAAAACTTAGTGGCTTAAAACAATAACTTATTATCACTTGTGATTTTGTGTGTTGACTGGGTTCAGCTGTGTGGTTCTTCTGCTTTATGTGACATAAGCAAAGTCTATATCTAGGGATTTGACTTGACTGAAGAATACAAGATGACTTACTTGCATTGTTGGCAGCTGATGTTGGCTTTGTCGGGAACTCATTTGGGACTGTTCACTTATGTGCCTCTTATCTCCACGTGGCCTCTCCTTGAGGCTTGGACTTCTCACAATATGGCAGCTGGATTTCAAGAGGGAGTGCACCAAGTGGAATGGGATTACACAAAGCTATGGTTCATTGGGGTCCCTTTGTAGAGGCTAGAAGTCACAATTTGGAATCTGGTTTACATATTCCTAATTTATCTTTACCCCAGAATCACAGTGTGTGATACTGTCTATGAGATACCCAAATTTAGATTGCCTATACTATATTAAGTCATTCATCCTGCCTTTAGGGGATAAAAGCAATATATCCTATCATTTTAAATGATTAAACATTTTAATATTCTCAATCTAAATGTGAATTAGCATCAGTGGTGGCTTAGTTACTTGTGATCTTTAAATTTTCTCACTTCTGTCTGAACCTCAGTTTCATGAGAAAATGTAATTAGAGTCATATATTTGGATGCCAGAAATACCATCTTACTATAGTCCATGCTAGAAGAAATCTAAGAATTCACCTAATTCACCCCCTATATTTTTGCAGAAAAGAAGCTGAAACCTGTGAAGTTATGATTTGTTCAAATCTTCCTTCCCCATTTCAATCAGAGCTGCTTCTCTGTCATCTGCTTTATATATTGTGACTCAGGTATAATTTTATTTGGAATCTAAGTCCGATAAAATAAAGTTTGAGAAAGAAGCAGCATAGTTAGTGGTTAAAAGCACAGACTATGAAGACAGACTACCTTAGGCTGTGTTCTGTATGCTCTGTGCCTCAGTTTACTCATTTGTTATGTGTGGAAAAGTAACATCACCTGCCCTACAGAGTTTTTATGTGTATCCATGAGCTTATGTTGGTAATGTACTTGGAACTGTTTCTAGCATATGAATAGAATTATGTAAGCACTGGTGAAATAAATACATTTCCTTGAAGTAATGAGAGATGCAGAAAAACATCAGATATGTCGGTTTACAGTTCAAATTCAGGCCCTAGGAGTATAATGTTTCTCCTTTCGATGGTATATTTTTAGGCATGGAGTCAGTCTCCTTAAGCAAGTCTAATACAGATATCTAATATAGATTTAATAGCAAAAGATTTAACAGTAATCCTTGTGTATCAGTTAGAATACCTTAGACTGGAAAGAACAAAAATCTCAACAGTCTTAAGCAATAAGGAGTATCTTATTTTCTATCTCTATGCAAACGTCAAGGTCACAGTCATACCTTGAGTTTTACTTGTCAGGCTTTCGTAGTTTAGTTTATATTTTCTTCATCCTGACTCCCTGGCTACCTCAGGTTGTAAGCCTCTCAGAGTGACTCCAGGAGTTGGCTGAGCATTTTGGATACCTTCACAGGTCTGCCTGGGTGTCAGCTGTCATGCTTTCTCAGGTTCCTACCTAACACCATGTCTGCTACTCAGAGCACACTTACGGTATTGAATAGTTCTCCCTGAGACTTGCAATCATCATGACGTTTACCCAGGGATGAAAGCATAGGTCCCCTCATTTCTCAGATTTCTCCTTAACCTTTTGGATTTCTGTTACTGGCCACTACTGTTCTTAGAATCAGTCAGGAGGCCAGGCTTTAGCACCCTTCTTTGAGATTCATTAAAATCTAATCTATTTATATTTCAGCTGAGGCAAATTTTATTCTCAAGCAGGGGTTTCCTGGCTATTTACTCACTTTCTTTCAAATGTAATATTTATAGCCCTAACTATTAACTGGCTTCCTAGGATTTCATCTTTTACATATTAAAATATTCAGCTATCTTGTGTGTATGTGGGAGGAGGTTGTCAGAACATCACTACTTGGATCTGAGAAAGGGTCAGGCAACAAGGAAATGCAATGATAAATATCTCAGCTCATATTTCTTTATTTTATCTGGACTAATGCAGTCACTTAGTGAAGAAAAAAAAAACAGGTGAATTAAAAGTAAAAATATATATATTTAAATAAACCAGTACAACACCATAGACAATGTTGCCTCATGGGCATTTATTATTAACTCAAATATTTATGCAGAACTGCTATGAGAATTCAGAATGTATTTCAAGGCCAAGTTGGTCAAGAACAGTTTCCCAAAGCAGGATTTTTATATAGGTCATGAATAATGACTATAAGTTGCATGGGAATGGAGAGTAGAATTGCATGGTATGTTTTTAGTAGTAGAATAGCCGAATTAGTTACATAAAGCCTGAGTATTATAAAGTGCGTTTGAACAGTAGCAGATGGAACAGTTGCCTGGAGTTGGGAATTCATGGAAATAAGTCCAAGCTAGGGCTCTAAATGCAGTTAGAAAAGAAGATGAACTTTAGTATAGCCTATAAATGATGGTTGGGTTTCATATAAGGTGGTGGGAACCAAGGAACTTGAGTGTTCTAAGTAAAGGAAACATTGGAGATCTAGTCAAAGAAATGGGAGCATCTGGGAAGACTCAGAGAATAGAGCATTACACTTCTACTGAAGTAAAGGCTACATGGCAGAGTATCATGAGCCATGAAACTATACACACAGTTTGGACTTGGAAGAGGACAACCTTAGATTACTTAAAAATTGGACATTGTCATATGTTATTTTTAAGAATGAAACCTAGAAGTGGCTTTTTCTTCTGCCCACATTCAATTGGCCAAAATACGGTGAGATTCTTCTTGATCCTAAGTCTAAGGAAGCTGAGAAATATGACCCCCTTGAGTGTCCAGAAAGAAGACACCGTGTGGTGAGTAATATTGTTTAGACATCCCATAAAATGTTGTATTTAAAATTTGGTGCAAAGGTGGCTATTTCCAGGAAAATTATATGTGCTTATAAATAGTGAAGATTATTTTTACAAACCGACATTAAACTCCTCTACTTTCATAGCTTACTCTTACGAATAGGAAAGAGCATAGGAGAGTCTCTAGCACAATACAGGCTTTGACAATTAAAGAGAAAAATAATGTCATGGTTGCTAATACTTTGTTTATTTGTTTAGAGTGTAGCAGGAGTCACATAAAGATGTAGATTGATTTAATGTAGCTATTAAACGTATTAAATACATTTTTATAGATGTTAATTTTTAAAATTCTTACTGTTTGAAGTTAACCATTTGCCAAATGATTTAATGCACACTCTTGAGTGTGGGCTTTTGAGACCACTCTTGCTTGGAAACTAGTCTATTTGGTTTGGTTACCCTTAGAAGTTGAAGCTTCCTTTAAAGTCTATTGAACTTCAGAAAATTCTTTTTATTTTCAACAGAGCCACAGAATTCTTTTCCTGTCTTTAGCCCTAAGTCTAAGTGCTTTAATATCCGTGTGGACATCCCATCCAATACTCTAGTTTCATAATTTCTTGACTTTCTCAAGTCCCATGACCTTTCAGCCATACATGTCAACCCATTAACTGCTCCATGTCTGATCTCTTTGAATCCCTTGGTTTAGCAGAATGTCAGGAATGTTCAGGAATAGATGCTCAATAAATGTTTACTGGATTAATAAATGGGTTAATGTTGGGTGTTCCATAAATACAGAATAAATATATATGAACTGTTTGTTGACTAACAGCCATCCTGCTCTTGTCTTTCCTAACAGCAGCTCTATTTTGATCATTTATCTATCTCTTCCCCCATCTCTTTATGTATATGTTGGAAGATGGTGACCCGACCTGAACATTCAGAGATGGGCCCAGATTAATTTATGACAATTCTGGAAATCCTAAACCTTTGTCAGTGATTACCCCCAGAATGGTCCTGTGGGCATACTGTGGCCAATGAGACTTAAGGAAAGGATTACTAGAGGGTCCTAGGAAAGTTCTTCCCCATTTTTAGAGGGTAGCAATGGAAAACCACTTTCACTCTCTCCCACTGGAAGTGATCAAGAACACATCTTGTCCTTCTTCCCAACTGGTAGTAGCTAATTTGTGATCATGAAGAAGGCCAGATTGAGGACAATCCTTCTCCATAGGAGATAACCAAGCCTGGAAAATAGCGAAGAACGAAAGCCAGAGCTGGCTCCTGTCATGTGTGACATTCCCCTGCCACACCTCTGCAATTCCAGTTCATTCAGCCAATTAAACACTTTGTTTTTTAATGCCAGTTTCAATAAAGTTGCTAATATGTAATATCAAAAGCACCATCCTGATACAAAATCTCTAGCCAGAGAAATTGGATGATGGCTTTAAAATAAGAAAGTAAAATCATCTATTCCCTTATTATCCCCCAAGGATTGACAATATTCTTTCTCGTCAGTACATAAACACAAAAATTGTTTTAAATGCAAATATCTAAATAATTCAATTACATTGGCAACTATGTATTTTAGGGGGAATTTTTGTTTGGCATTTAAGAACAAATAATATATTTGCCTGAAAGTTCCAATTTTACCTTATGTGGATGGAAAATCAGGATGACTGCTCTGGTTCTGTTTGGCACCTTCTAGAGTTAGTCTGTATTCCTTTCACATGAAAAATGTCAGCATAGAAATTTTACTGCTTTCCTGCTGAGTTTAACTTGCTTTAGGACAGCTGGATCAGGCTAGGCATGAACGTGTAATGTGGATTCCCATAGTTTTTAATGAGCTTTAGGAATTTACACAGTTTGCAGAGTTGGTTCACTACATTGTCAATTTTGTTACATCATTTAGTAAAAGTATGTGTTTTTTTTATTTGAACAAACAAATATTATAGCTATCTTCTAGCAAACAAAAATAAATTGCCAATGTATGTGTTGTACCCCAAAGTGACCTAGGTGGGTACCATTCTAAGAGAAGTCTCAGGCTAAATATTGATGGAAGAGGTTCCATCTAGTCACGTGTTTTTGACATTTTTACAATTAGGGTTTTATGACAGATCAAGGGCTATGTCTACGACCTCGGGGTAGTAGAAGTCTATTTCATGAAAAAAATAGGGATTAAAACATATGTGTAAAATTGATGAAGATAAAGTAGATATTATTGCCCTGGAAATGTGGGGTAGAATTAATTACTCATTTGTTGTACCAAATTTGATTCTGAACTGCCTACCATCTAAGACAAAAATAAACAGTGAATTACATACTTTTCCTTGTCTATGGAATAATAGGAGGCGTAACAGTAGAAAGAAATGTGTTCCCTAAGAACCACATTTTAAAAAACAATATTATATTGTTAGATTTCTTTCTTGGAAAATTTTAGCCAAAATGCAACCATGTGGTTGTATATAGTCAGCACTTATTTCAACCTTCAATAAAAGTTAATGGCATCATGATTAATTGTAAATCTCTGAAGACATTTATAAGGAAGCTAATGTAATGCCTTCCAGGTATGTTGCTCTCTTATAATCAGATTTTTACAGTCATAAAATCAAGTTGGATTTTTAATCACAGAATACTCTGCTCAAATTTAATTGGATTTTGGATAGGAGTGAAGACAGAATTTGAAAATAAGGCTCTTCGTGAAGATCTGAAGTTCAGATACTCTATGATGTTGAAAAGACATTAATACATCTTAAAAATCAGACTCTTGATGCAATTCTGCCCTTAAGAGAGAACTGTTCCGTTTTTTTAAAATGGGGTGGAGTTGAATTTCCCTCAAGAAGTAGCTTTAAGACATACTGATGATCAGGTTAAGTGGCTTCTATTACTATAATTTCTTAAAGGTGAAATATTCACTATATAGATTCTGTACTCCACACGGGAAATTATAAAGTTTTACCATGAAAGCTTCCATTTCAGATTAAAAACTAATTTAAAAAAATGAGAGATTTTAGTTTATTTCAGTTTTCTTTTTTAATCAAGATAAATGACTGCACCCTGAATTGTGCTTGGGGTTGCAGCTCTACTGTAGTTTCACTCTAGGACAAGTGACTTGGCAATCAGCTGTCTCTAAGGAATCTGACTTTCTTTACTATACCTAGGGTCCCTCTGCCTTGTTTCACTCTGATCTGGTGTCTGCCCAGCTCCCAGACCTACAGGCAATATCTGCCCCTAGTCTCCTCCCCTTTCTTCCACAGGCTTCTGGAAGATACATCCTTCCTAGTGTCCTTCCTCTCCTGTGTTCCATCTCCTACAGATTTCTCAGGGGTCTCACTCTGATTGTCTTTCCTCTCTTATATCTTTAACTGCCCACTCAGTGGCTTTTTTCTCATTTTCACTGGACTGTAATCAACTGTCTACCATATTAACAAAAAGTTGCTTTAACTGCTTACTCTCTGTTCTTTCCTTCATAGCAATATTTTTGAAAATGTTACCCATGTTCAGGATCTCCACTTCCGTTATCTCCCTTGATTCCTGAAACCCTACTATCTGGCTTCTGCTGCATCATTTTCCTAAACCTGTTCTCATCGAGGTCATCCGTGACCTCTATGCTGTTCTTTCCGAACAGATGAGCCTTGTTGTGCATGGTTTACCATTCCCTTTTCCTGGAATGAGTTTCTATATTTGGCTTCTTGTCCTTCTCTCCATCTGTCTTGCATCACCTTTGTGGCCTCCCTTTCTCTTATAGTTCCCTTAAATGGAGACTCCTTCGTCTCTTACACCATCATCTCTAGTCTTATTCCCTGATCTGATTATTAGAATCTATCATCGGCTCCCCCCAACCCCTGCTTTCTGACAGATGTTGTTAAAGCACCTCTGTGATTCTGTCTGTTCACCGCTTAAAAATTCACCATGATTTCCTAATGCTTACAAACAGCCTCATCTTATCCTGGCAAGGTAACATTTTCCATAATCTTGTTTTCCTACTGTACAATATCTGTCTTTTGTTTTGAACGTACCTTCTTACCTATTCCACATTGGACTCCGCTCACTTTTGTATTTCTTTATCTTTAAATTAGAATTAAGCCATTTAAATGGAAATGAGCATTGTGTTATGTCCTATGGATATAACTAACAATAACACAAATATGATTTGTGCATTTATATGCTAAATAATCAAGAACTTGTCAAATCATACCTGTAACTCAAACCTCAGCTCAAATGGAGTCTTCTTACATTTATCTAATTCTAATCTTTTCATTTAGAATAAGTATGGATTCTCTTTGAAATCACATACTCTTTTTTGGGTTTTTTAAAAAGTTACATACAGCACTATCAAATTGCGTGTGTGAGTGTGTGTGTGCATGCAAGTAGACACTGTACCACATAGGTATAGGAATGGCCAATAATAAGAAGAATAGATGCTGAATATCATTAGTGGTTAGAGAAATGTGCTCATTGATGAAGCACCATATCCCACCATCATTCATGACTTGTCATCTTCAGTATATTGAATTAGGTGAATAAATGCATCCTCCCATGTTTTCACTTCCGTATATTGTCCTTACCCCTGGATATCACAAAACACTGACTATTTCCAGGGTGTTGCCACTACCTTTTTCTGCTGAGGTCTCTTCATTTCACCCCACTGGGCTGGATCTAGAATAATCCCAGGAAGATGTTCTCTGGCATGGTCTGATCCTCCACAATATGTATGTATCCATGTATGTTTCCTATATTTTTAACATAAAATCAATCAAGATAGGATCTAAGAAAATTTTGTCAGATTTAAGTCAAATGATTTTGTCTAATAAAAACATCAATTACGCTGCTTCACACTCTTATACTCTGTATTTGACCTTCATTTGTTGCAAGAAACCCCTTGAAATACTATGTCATTTAGGTGTTTATGTATTTTGCATGTGCTCATTTACATACTGCATAGGATTTTAGACGATCTACAATACAGAGACAGAATAAAATAGAAATAAAGTATTACACCACAATAAAAATAGAGTTAAGAAAAAGAATGACCCCAAAGAAAGACTGAGACTTAATCACTCTGGGGGTTTAGGTGGTTCATGTGACAGTATGTTGACAGAAAAATAGTTGTCAAATTGGGTTTCATAAAAATATCTTAAATTTAATACTTATTACCAAAACAACACATTTATTTTCAAACCCCAAAAGGCAATTTAAGAATTTCTAGTTAGTGCAATCTAAAGAAGATTCAAACATTCCATGAGAAATAATGAAATTGTGCTAGACCAAGCAATAGCAACAATGAGGTGTGAACCATCACCAAGCATCTTTCTTGTTACTACTCTATGCTCAGAACTAGGAGAAGGGCTGTTCAAGATTAAGGGAGAAGTGGAAGGCACTGAGTTCAAGATGTTGACTTGTCTATCTGGAGAGCGGAGCACATAAAAGACCCAATTATTGATCAAAACAGAACAGACTAAAGCCCTAAGTTGGGTTAAATGAGCAATTTGGAAAAAAATGTTTATTTTCAAAACAATTTATGGAGATAGTTTGCATTTGTATAATATATTTTGACTGCATCCAATGCTGTAATTTTGCTTTAACAAAATAAGTTTAGAAAACTAAAGGATAGAATTATAACATGCTTCTCCAAAGTCACATAGCTAATGATATAATAGGATTAGCACTTATATTTCCTGACTCCTGATAAATTACTCATTTTATTCATGTACCATTTTCGTATTAATCAAAAATATCATTGTATGTCAGAATATAACATATAGATACATAAATAAATATGAAAAAAATGAGCTTAATTCAACCACAGATGTAAATGATCCAAACCGAGACAGTCAGTAGGATCCGGAATATTTTGAAAATCTAACAACACAGCACTCTTTCTTTTATATATTTCTTTGTGTTGTTGAAGTTTCCGTCCACCCCCTCTTCCTATACTAATGGTGAATATTTATTAAAAGCTTATTTTATGCCAACCATGATTTTAAGCATTTCATAAGTATTATTTTACTTAATACTGAAAAATCCCTATGGGGTAGAAGTTGTTATTATCTCCATTTTGCAGATGAGGAACAGGATAGGACATGATTAAATAACTTGTCCAAGGCCACTCAAGTATTAAATATTAGAATCACAGCTTCAATTAAAGGTGATTCTGAATGTCCTCTTAGGTTGAAAATGTCTAACTCTAAAACAAGTGGCGTACCGCCTCAAATAATGTATAGACCAGTTTGGTCTCATTATAACAATACTCTTTATTAATATTGCCCTTCTCTAAGCAGTTGAAAATACTCTGAAAAAAAATCACTAATTAACTATTCTGTCAATTATGTCATATTGTTTCTATTTTTAAATGGAAAACAACATGAGCTTTCTCAAAGCCAGCTTGGTAGCAGTTTCAGGAAGAAAATGTGGATCAAATTTCTTAGACTAAGACACCTCTCATACAGACTTAAGGAGTTAGATTGAAACTAATTATAAATCCATGACATTTTTATTTACCTTAGTATAAGAAATCATCCCTTCCTCCACTCCCAGCCATGCATGCTATTCTACATGACTAATGAGTTAATTTGAGAACTGATGCTTCATCTGGAACAGGTGATGAAGGGTATATAGGAATCAGTGTTAGATGGCAGGTGTCTAAACAATGCCTGATTAAATGAAGTGTGTTTTCCCTCCAATGTATTAGCATAAAGTGTCATATAGCCTCAGAAGTCAAAAACATCAGGAGAGTTGTAAAAGCTAATGAGCCAAGGGATGTTTCCAGGGTTCTGCCATTGTAAAAAAGAATGATTATTTAATGTGTGTGGGGACAACCATATTTATTTTTGTATCAAGCAAATATCCTCACTCTTAGCGTAAATAAAAAGTCATCTGAGCAACAGGGCTCCAAGCTGCCATGGTTCTTTGCTCTGAAATGATAACTTTTTCCTGGAAAGGTAGGGAATCCACTCAGCACACTTGAAAGAAGATAATGGGTTTCAGATTCGCCTATTACTAAAGTGGTCATGAATACCTGGGTGGGGTCTGCCTCTGGGATGGTATCAACCCCAATTTGTACTGGACTTCTTTAGCTAGTTTTCTTCAGAAAGGTAGATCCCAGAGCTATCAGCACCCAGAGCTATCAGCACCTGAATCACCATTAAAATGCAAATTCAGGGCCCACTTCAGTCCCATTGAATCCCTCTTTCAAAGTATAAAGATGAAATCTACATTCCTGGGAATACTTGTCCTTCTTCCCTATTCCTAACTGGTTCTTAATCAGGGGTGTGACACTCTATAAAAATATACATGCCAAGCCCATCACACCCAGTTCTATTCCCATGCAGGATCCTAGGGAAAGTTTATTAGCAGGTGCATTTAAAATAATTCTCTAGTGATTATTCTGAATGTCCCCTTTCGTTCAGAATTGTCCTGGATCTTATTAAACAAGTGGTCTTAAACCTCACTCAGGGTGAGATGGAATCATGCGTAGGTATAAGCATTATTTGTGAGATTATTAATGCTGTGCATCCATCAGCAATATTTCTATGAAACATAGTAATATTGTTGCAATAAGAGAAAGCATATAACATATCCTAATTTAACACACCTTAGGGACTACATATAGGACAGGCATTTCCCCCTAAATTGGAAGACTTTAGAGCCCTGCCCTATTCTAGTCTAGCCCAGTTGTTCAGGTAACTGCAGGTTGACCCACTCCTCTATTGGAAACAATGAGTCAGCTATTATGTCCACGTCTGAAAGTGCTTTCCTGTTGACACCCAAGATATTCCCAGGGATCAGCTGGGAAGCATTCACTTCTAGCTTCCTGGGTATTCCTATCAGAATCCCAGGCCTTTCGGGCCCTTCTGTCCACTTGTCTTGGATATGTGGGGAGGTTTTTTGTTTTTTTTTCTATTATTATTATACTTTAAGTTTTAGGGTACATGTGCACAACATGCAGGTTTGTTACATATGTATACATGTACCATGTTGGTGTGCTGCACCCATTAACTCTTCATTTAACATTAGGTATATCTCCTAATGCTATCCCTCCCCCCTCCCCCCACCCCACAACAGGCCATGGTGTGTGATGTTCCCCTTCCTGTGTCCATGTGTCCTCATTGTTCACTTCCCACCTATCAGTGAGAACATGTGGTGTTTGGTTTTTTGTCTTGCGATAGTTTGCTTAGAATGATGGTTTCCAGCTTCATCCATGTCCCTACAAAGGACATGAACTCATCCTTTTTTATGGCTACATAGTATTCCATGGTGTATATGTGCCACATTTTCTTAATCCAGTCTATCATGGTTGGACATTTGGATTGGTTCCAAGTCTTTGCTATTGGGAATAGTGCCGCAGTAAACATACATGTGCATGTCTTTATAGCAGCATGTTTTATATTCCTTTGGGTATATACCCAGTAACGGGATGGCTGAGTCAAATGGTATTTCTAGTTCTAGATCCCTGAGGAATCGCCACACCAACTTCCAAAATGGTTGAACTAGTTTACAGTTCCACCAACAGTGTAAAACTGTTCCTATTTCTCCACATCCTCTCCAGCACCTGTTGTTTCCTGACTTTTTAATGATCACCATTCTAACTGGTGTGAGATGGTATCTCATTGTGGTTTTGATTTGCATTTGCCTGATAGCCAGTGATGATGAGCATTTTTTCATGTGTCTTTTGGCTGAATAAATGTCTTCTTTTGAGAAGTGTCTGTTCATGTCCTTCACCCACTTTTTGATGGGGTTGTTTGTTTTTTTCTTGTAAATTTGTTTGAGTTCATTGTAGATTCTGGATATTAGCCCTTTGTCAGATGAGTAGATTGCAAAAATTTTCTTCCATTCTGTAGGTTGCCTGTTCACTCTGATGGTAGTTTCTTTTGCTGTGCAGAAGCTCTTTAGTTTAATTAGATCCCATTTGTCAATTTTGGCTTTTGTTGCCATTGCTTTTGGTGTTTTAGACATGAAGTCCTTGCCCGTGCCTATGCCCCGAATGGCATTGCCTAGGTTTTCTTCAGGGTTTTTATGGTTTTAGGTCTAACATGTAGGTCTTTAATCCATCTTGAATTAATTTTTGTATAAGGTGTAAGGAAGGGATCCAGTTTCAGCTTTCTACATATGGCCAGCCAGTTTTCCCAGCACCATTTATTAAATAGGGAATCCTTTCCTGATTTCTTGTTTTTGTCAGGTTTGTCAAAGATCAGATGGTTGTAATATGCGGCATTATTTCTGAGGGCTCTGTTCTGTTCCATTGGTCTATATCTCTGTTTTGGTACCAGTACCATGCTGTTTTGGTTACTGTAGCCTTGTAGTATAGTTTGAAGTCAGGTAGCATGATGCCTCCAGCTTTGTTCTTTTGGCTTAGGATTGACTTGGCAATGCGGACTCTTTTTTGGTTCCATACTAACTTTAAAGTAGGTTTTCCCAATTCTGTGAAGAAAGTCATTGGTAGCTTGATGGAGATGGCATTGAATCTATAAATTACCTTGGGCAGTATGGCCATTTTTACAATATTGATTCTTCCTACCCATGAGCATGGAATGTTCTTCCATTTGTTTGTATCCTCTTTGATTTCATTGAGCAGTGTTTTGTAGTTCTCCTTGAAGAGGTCCTTCACATCCCTTGTAAGTTGTATTCCTAGGTATTTTATTCTCTTTGAAGCAATTGTGAATGGGAATTCACTCATGATTTGGCTCTCTGTTTGTCTGTTATTGGTGTATAAGAATGCTTGTGATTTTTTCACATTGATTTTGTATCCTGAGACTTTGCTGAAGTTGCCTATTAGCTTAAGGAGATTTTGGGCTGAGACAATGGGGTTTTCTAGATGTACAATCATGTCATCTGCAAACAGGGACAATTGGACTTCCTCTTTTCCTAATTGAATACCTTTTATTTCCTTCTCCTGCCTGATTGCCCTGGCCAGAACTTCCAACACTATGTTGAATAGGAGTGGTGAGAGAGGGCATCCGTGTCTTGTGCCAGTTTTCAAAGGGAATGCTTCCAGTTTTTGCCCATTCAGTATGATATTGGCTGTGGGTTTGTCATAGATAGCTCTGATTATTTTGAGATACATCCCATCAATAACTAATTTATTGAGAATTTTTAGCATGAAAGTTGTTGAATTTTGTCAAAGGCCTTTTCTGCATCTATTGAGATAATCATATGGTTTTTGTCATTGGTTCTGATTATATGCTGGATTATGTTTATTGATTTGCGTGTGTTGAACCAGCCTTGCATCCCAGGGATGAAGCCCACTTGATCATAGTGGATAAGCTTTTTGATGTGCTGCTGGATTTGGTTTGCCAGTATTTTATTGAGGATTTTTGCAGATGTTCATCAGGGATATTGGTCTAGAATTCTCTTTTTTTTGTTGTGTCTCTGCCAGGCTTTGGTATCAGGATGATGCTGGCCTCATAAAATGAGTTAGGGAGGATTCCCTCTTTTTCTATTGATTGGAATAATTTCAGAAGGAATGGTACCAGCTCCTCCTTGTACCTCTGGTAGAATTTGGCTGTGAATCCATCTGGTCCTGGACTTTTTTTGGTTGGTAAGCTATTAATTGTTGCCTCAATTTCAGAGCCTGTTATTGGTCTTTTCAGAGATTCAACTTCTTCCTGGTTTAGTCTTGGGAGGGCGTATGTGTGGAGGCATTTATCCATTTCTTCTAGATTTTCTAGTTTATTTGTGTAGAGGTCTTTATAGTATTCTCTGATGGTAGCTTGTATTTCTGTGGGATCGGTGGTGATATCCCTTTTATCATTTTTTCTTGCATGTATTTGATTCTTCTCTGTTTTCTTCTTTATTAGTCTTGTTAGCGGTCTGTCAATTTTGTAGATCTTTTCAAAAAACCAGCTCCTGGAATCATTGATTTTTTGAAGGGTTTTTTGTGTCTCTATTTCCTTCAGTTCTGCTCTGATCTTAGTTATTTCTTGCCTTCTGCTAGCTTTTGAATGTGTTTGCTCTTGCTTTTCTAGTTCTTTTAATTGTGATGTTAGGGTGTCAATTTTAGATATTTTCTGCTTTCTCTGGTGGGCATTTAGTGCTACAAATTTCCCTCTACACACTGCTTTTAATGTGTCCCTGAGATTCTGATATGTTGTATCTTTGTTCTCGTTGGTTTCAAAGAACATCTTTATTTCTGCCTTCATTTCGTTATGTACCCAGTAGTCATTCAGGAGCAGGTTGTTCAGTTTCCATGTAGTTGAGCGGTTTTGAGTGAGTTTCTTAATCCTGAGTTCTAGTTTGATTGCACTGTGGTCTGAGAGACAGTTTGTTATAATTTCTGTTCTTTTACATTTGCTGAGGAGTTCTTTACTTCCAACTATGTGGTCAGTTTTGGAATAGGTGTGGTGTTGTGCTGAAAAGAATGTATATTCTGTTGATTTGGGGTACGGAGTTCTGTAGATGTCTATTAGGTCCACTTGGTGCAGAGCTGAGTTTAGTTCCTGGATATCCTTTTTAACTTTCTGTCTCTTTGATCTATCTAATGTTGACAGTGGGGTGTTAAAGTCTCCCATTATTGTATGGGAGTCTAAGTCTCTTTGTAGGTCACTGAGGACTTGCTTTATGAATCTGGGTGCTCCTGTATTGGGTGCATATATGTTTAGGTTAGTTAGCTCTTCTTGTTGAATTGATCCCTTTACCATTATGTAATGGCCTTCTGTGTCTCTTTTGATCTTTGTTGGTTTAAAGTCTGTTTTATCAGAGACTAGGATTGCAACCCCTGCCTTTTTTTTGTTTTCCATTTGCTTGGTAGATCTTCCTCCATCCCTTTATTTTGAGCCTGTGTGTGTCTCTGCACATGAGATGGGTTTCCTGAATACAGCATACTGATGGGTCTTGACTCTTTATCCAATTTGCCAGTCTGTGTCTTTTAATTGGAGCATTTAGCCCATTTACATTTAAGGTTAATATTGTTATGTGTGAATTTGATCCTGTCATTATGATGTTAGCTGGTTATTTTGCTCATTAGTTGATGCCGTTTCTTCCTAACCTTGATGGTCTTTACAATTTGGGATGTTTTTGCAGTGTCTGGTACCAGTTGTTCCTTTCCATGTTTAGTGCTTCCTTCAGGAGCTCTTTTAGGGCAGGCCTGGTAGTGACAAAATCTCTCAGCATTTGCTTGTCTGTAAAGTATTTTATTTCTCCTTCACTTCTGAAGCTTAGTTTGGCTGGATATGAAATTCTGGGTTGAAAATTCTTTTCTTTAAGAATGTTGAATATTGGCCCCCACTCTCTTCTGGCTTGTAGAGTTTCTGCCAAGAGATCTGCTGTTAGTCTAATGGGCTTCCCTTTGTGGGTAACCTGACCTTTCTCTGTGGCTGCCCTTAACATTTTTTCCTTCATTTCAACTTTGGTGAATCTGACAATTAAGTGTCTTGGAGTTGCTCCTCTGGAGGAGTATCTTTGTGGTGTTCTCTGTATTTCATGAATTTGAATATTGGCCTGCCTTGGTAGATTGGGGAAGTTCTCCTGGATAATATCCTGCAGTATGTTTTCCAACTTGGTTCCATTCTCCCTGTCACTTTCAGGTACACCAATCAGAAGTAGATTTGGTCTTTTCACATAGTCCCATATTTCTTGGAGGCTTTGTTCTTTTTCTTTTTTCTCTAAACTTCTCTTCTCACTTCATTTCATTCATTTGATCTTCCATCACTGATACCCTTTCTTCCAGTTGAGCAAATTGGCTACTGAGGCTTTTGCATTCGTCATGTATTTCTCGTGCCATGGTTTTCAGCTCCATCAGGTCCTTTAAGGACTTCCCTGCATTGGTTATTCTAGTTATCCATTTGTCTAATTTTTTTTCAAGGTTTTTAACTTCTTTGCCATGGGTTCGAACTTCCTCCTTTAGCTTGGAGTAGTTTGATCGTCTGAAGCCTTCTTCTCTCAACTTGTCAAAGTCATTCTCCGTCCAGCTTTGTTTGGTTGCTGGTGAGGAGCTGCATTCCTTTAGAGGAGGAGAGGCGTTCTGATTTTTAGAGTTTCCAGTTTTTCTGCTCTGTTTTTTCCCTGTCTTTGTGGTTTTATCTACCTTTGGTCTTTGATGATGGTGACGTACAGATGGGGTTTTGGTGTGGATGTCCTTTCTGTTTGTTAATTTTCCTTCTAACAGTCAGGACCCTCAGCTGCAGGTCTGTTGGAGTTTGCTGGAGGTCCACTCCAGACACTTTTTGCCTGGGTATCAGCAGGAGAGGCTGCAAAATAGCGAATATTGGTGAACAGCAAATGTTGCTGCCTGATCGTTCCTCTGGAAGTTTTGTCTCGGAGGAGTACCTGGCTGTGTGAGGTGTCAGTCTGCCCCTACTGGGGGGTGCCTCCCAGTTAGGCTACTCGGGGGTCAGGGACCCACTTGAGGAGGCAGCCTGTCCATTGTCAGATCTCCAGCCATGTGCTGGGAGAACCACTACTCTCTTCAAAGCTGTCAGACAGGGACATTTAAGTCTGCAGAGTTTTCTGCTGCCTTTTGTTTGTCTATGCCCTGCCCTCAGAGGTGGAGTCTACAGAGGCAGGCAGGCCTCCTTGAACTGTGGTGGGCTCCACCCTGTTCGAGCTTCAGGGCCGCTTTGTTTACCTACTCAAGCCTCAGCAATCGTAGGCACCCCTCCCCCAGCCTCGCTGCCACCTTGCAGTTTGATATCAGACTGCTGTGCTAGCAATGAGCAAGGTTCCGTGGGCCTTGGACCCTCCACGCCAGGCACTGGATATAATCTCCTGGTGTGCCATTTGCTAAGACCGTTGGAAAAGTGCAGTATTAGGGTGGGAGTGACCCGATTTTCCAGGTGCCATCTCTCACCCCTTTCTTTGACTAGGAAAGGGAATTGCCTGACCCCTTGCACTTCCCGGGTGAGGTGATGCCTCGCCCTGCTTTGGCTCACATTCAGTGTGCTGCACCCACTGTCCTGCACCCACTGCCTGACACTCCCCAGTGAGATGAACCCGGTACCTCAGTTGGAAATGCAGAAATCACCCATCTCCTGCATTGCTCACACTGGGAGCTGTAGACTGGAGCTGTTCCTATTCAGCCATCTTGGCTCCACACCCTCGTGAGGACGTTTTGTGTCCTCTTCTCCTGCACTAGCATCAGGGGAGAGAAATGCTGTCAGTGACTCAGCTATTTGGCCAGGGCTCAGTTTCAATAAGGAGCTGGGTCATACTTATGTCTTTCCTCTCCTCTGTCAGTCAGATCACCACAACTTAATCTGATAGGCTCACTGTTCCTGCTTGTTTTGAGGTGGGCAGGCCTATGCATACCTGTCTCCAAAGTCTGTGAAAGCTGAGAAGCCAAAGAGAGTGGCTATCACGCCATTCTCCTGCCTCAGCCTCTCCGAGTAGCTGGGACTACAGGTGCCTGCCATCATACCCGGCTAATTTTTTGTATTTTTAGTAGAGATGGGGTTTCACCATGGTCTTGATCTCCTGACCTTGTGATCCACCTGCCTTGGCCTCCCAAAGTGCTGGGATTACAAGCGTGAGCCACTGCGACCGGCCATTTATGAATACCTTCGTGGGGTCTGCCTCTGGGATGGTATCACCCCCAATTAGTACTGGACTTCTTTAGCTAGTCTTCTTCAGAAAGGTAGATCCCAGAGCTATCAGCACCTGGGAACGTTTCTCAGAAGAAATGTTTAATAGGGACTTACCAATAAAAGCCATGTCTGTGTCTCAGGCTGTGTGAGAGAAGATGGTGGATTTCCATCAGAAAAGAGGGGAACAATTGAAGCACAATAACAGAAAAGTTGTTTTATCTAAGAGCAAGATCTATAGTAAGTTTCTGTTCTTACACAAAGAACAGCAGATAAACTGGAAATCTTAGAGGCTTTCCTGGAGCAGAGGCTAATCAGAAGCCAACATGGCAGATTAGCTTCCAAGACAGAGTTGCTTTAGCCTACACACTACTCTATCCTTCTGAGGCTATATCCCCACCCCATTCTAAACTTATGTGAATGTATTATACCCATTTTTCCTCGTAGCCTAAAATCAACTCTATATACAGACCAAATGCTATTTTCTGCAAATTCTAATATTTGAGAGTCCATTCTGTGGTGGTCTAACTCATGACTTTCTGGCATAACTTTTTTCTTTCAACATTTGGTGTAGATAAAATGAGTTTTATATAATTCATTGTCCCTGGATCCTCCTGGCCAGACATTTAAAGCTAAACTCCCATCTGATTCTGAAGAGCTTATAATACTTTCAGAAGAGATAATGTTTGCTAAATTTTCATGCACATATTTAAAACATGCAGTGAGCATAGTTCCTCAGAAAGGTGATCCAACTCAAAGGTTATATAATTTCATATGTGTTCTCCTTCTGTTTATATAATGAAAAACACTGTTAAATTCTGAAGGATAAATAGAAACCCTTTTCTGCATAGACATTCTCCCTTAGTCTTTCATCAGAGGTTATTTAGTTTTTCTGAATTTTGAAGGAAGATTAAGGAATTTTAATGGAGGGTTGAAAATGGCAAATAATCACAAGCATCTTCAAAAGGCCAATAAATTCATTTATCTGCCAGCTAATAAAATATTTAACTCCATTTATGGCTAGAATTAATTTCATGATATTTTCAGGAAATGAGAAGAGTTGTTCATTTGGAATGAAACATTAAAAATATTAGTGATTTTGTAAACAACTTTAAGAATACAATAAGCATATCTGTAGATTTATTGGTCTTTCATTGGTAAGCATTGGCAATGAAAGTTCCAATAAGAACTGGATTTGGGGGTATGGGGAACAAATATGGCCATCTAGCAAAAGCAACATGAACATATGTAAATGTTAAAAAATCATCTCTTTTATTCTGAATGAATTCAACAATATGCAGAGTGAATAATTTTGTTTTGTTTTATTTTATTTTTTGAGACAGAGTCTTCCCCTGTCATCTGAGCTGGAGTGCAGTGGTGTGATCTCAGCTCACTGCAGCCTCCGCCTCTGGGGTTCAAGCGATTCTCCTGCCTCAGCCTCCGGAGTAGCCGGGATTACAGGTGCCTGCCACCATGTCTGGCTAATTTTTATATTTTTAGTAGAGACAGGGTTTTGCTACATTGGCCAGGCTGGTCTCAAACTCCTGACCTCAAGTAATCCTCCTGCCTCAGCCTCCCAAAGTGCTGGGATTACAGGCATGAGCCACCACACCCAGCCTGAAGTGTGTAATTTTAAAATGTATTTCTATATCCTAATAATTTAATGTTTTATGCATTATTTTTAGAAAAATAAAATTTTATTAAGTTGATTTTATGAACAGAAGTAGTTATTATAATGGAAAGACTGGGAAACATTATTAATGGTGCATCTAAAATAAGGATGCTTGAAAACACACAATGTTTTCTCCAAACTTTTTTAGACATAAATATTACGGAAGTTCTGTACTAAAGTTGTGCAATATAGTTTTGGTTTTGCATTATAATATTTAAAATACATGTCAATCATATACTTACTGGAATTAGATACCCTGTTAGTAGCTCTAAATATTACTTTTATATTTTTAAATGATTTTATGATATTTATAATATTAATATAATTTTGTAACAAACTCTGACCCTACTGATATTATATCCTTCTCAATTTGCAGTTGTTTCATCTTGGAACCTTTTTATTTTTTAAAGGAATAATTACAATCAATAATGTTTTAAAATTCCTATAAGGCATAGTTTCTGATTTATGTGTAATATAATGATTCACAAAGCATATTTTCAAAGAAGGGTTAAATATATTAGGAAAATTCTTTGTTCTGTATTTTGCTCTTACAACCCACAAATCCCATCAGCATAGGAAACATTCTGAGTCTAATGGTAATACAGCCTCTTACATTGTTGGTCCTTACATTTCATAAAGTCCTGTCAACATGAAATTATTTTACAGGGAATTTTGGGAAGCAGTATTTAAAAGAAACACAGGGCTAGGCGCGGTGGCTCATGCCTGTAATCCCAGCACTTTGGGAGGCCGAGGCAGGCAGATCATGAGGTCAGGAGTTCAAGACCAGCCTGGCTAACATCGTAAAACCCCATTTCCATTAAAAATGCAAAAATTAGCCAGACGTGGTGGCGGCTGCGTGTAATTCCAGCTACTCTGGAGGCCGAGGCTTGAAACCAGAAGGTGGAGGTTGCAGTGAGCTGAGATTGCGCCACTGCACTCCACCCTGGGCGAAACGAGCAAAACTCCGTCTCAAAAAAAAAAAAAAAAAAAAGAAGAAGAAGAAGAAAGAAACACAGTGGTACCTCCTAGGCAATCCCCATGCAATGCTCTTGGCTTAGAGTTTAACTGTGATTAACGGTCCTCTTCCACAAGGTCAGAGATGGAGTCAGTGGCCCCTCTGGTTCCTTTCTAAATTTGGAAAAGGTGGTATCAGTCTTTCAGGTTCAGTGGAAGACAGACCTGCTGCTCAGCGTTTAGATCATTGAAAAGTAGTTGTTAGGTGATTCTCCCTTTAACTCAATAATTATCATCATTTTTTTTGCTGAAAAGAATAAGGATGGAAAAAATCAGAATGGACAGAACAATATGCCATAAAGTCAAGCAGTGCGGTAGAAGCATCTTCACATCCTGAAAACAAATGTAGCTACTTTCAAAAAAGATTCTTGAGAAACACTGTGTAATATTTGAAGAAAAAAGAATCTTGCTCACAATTTTTGCTTTTGGACTTCTTGTTGAAACAGACTATATTTTTATTCAGTGTTTGCTGAGTGTTTTCCTGTTCACATAATGCCCAGTATGTGCCCAGAAGTGAGCTGTGAAAGCAACCGTACACTTTTGCTAGTAGGAAAGTAGCTCCATCTCAGCTAAGCATACTCCATGTCAGAAGCAACCGGATGACATTAAGGATGCAGTCTATGGGAAATAATGTGTTCTTTTCTTCCCAAATGCTAGCTAATGAGAACCAGGTCCTTGGCCTCATCAGCACTAAGCTCTCTTAGCTGTAACCTGGTTCAGTATTACAGCACTAAGCTTTCTTAGCTATAACCTGGCTCAATATTACTAATAGAGGTGACAGCCTCTAAGACATTAGAGGAGAAAAGGTAAACTTTTTTGCATGTCATAAATAATTTCTAGGTGATGAGTTTCTATCATAAAAGTGTACTATGCATTGGAGAAACACTCCATGTATAAAGAAAACCTACAAAATGTGGACTGATCATTATCAAGCCTTAAACAAATGTGATGATTGACAGCAAAAGAGGTTTTCTCTGCTATAGAGAATAATGTCTTGAGAATTTGGAGACCATTTTTATTTTCCGTTTCCCTGTTAGTTTTCTGAATCTTACCCTAATCAAGTTTGACCTGTTTCCTTGACCTTTCAATATTATTGGGGAATGAAAAATGTAAAGATGCTTACATGGCATATAGTTCCAGAAATCAACTTATCATGGAAAAATGCCAATGCAGGATAGGATATGCAGATGATGCAACAGACATTCTCAGCTCCGATCTGTTATCTAGGGCTTTCAGAAGCTTACAGGGTCTCCTTGCCATCTTATCAGAACCAGAATTTCAAACTTGGAACTCATGATCTTTCTCATAAAATTAGCTACTATCCCCTGAAGTTTACTTTCTGTTGGTGATACCTCTGTTCTTCAAGGTTCCCGTTTTAAATGGATTGATGCATCTTCCAAGGATCTCTTTGGTTTACCCCCAGCTTTTCAATCCTTGTTTCCTGGCATTCTCTCTTGAGCTCTACTTTAAGCCACCCTGCCTGTGGACATATCATGAAAGTTTCTCCCTCTGGGCCTTGTTTATGCCCTTTCCTGCTCTGGGGTCTTCCTCACTTCTTCCAAGCCATCCAAATCCTAACCAAGCACCAGGTCAGTGACCTCATGAATCCAGAATTCCTATTATGTTTTACTTCTTTTGTCAACATCACTACACATTTCATACCTGATTTCTCATTATCTTGTTTCTTTTCTGTGTACCTCTACAGCTCAACACTGTTATCTTGCTGTGCTGTCCTAGGGACACTGCTATTTCAATCCTCATACATTGTATGGGCCATGTAATAGATGCTCTATAAATATTTAAAAAGACAGCAGTTGGAACAACTTGGAGGAGATCATCTCACTTAATACATTTTTTTATTATTGTTGTTTTATGATTTTTGTTATTTGATTTTGCTTTTTTCAATGCCTGGGGTAAAATGAGAGTTCAAGGTGAAGTAATTTATTTACAAACACTCAAAGTTGAGACTCAACCCAATGCCTTTGATCCCTTCCCTGTGCTCTTTCTTTCTTTTTTAAAACAGCGTTGTTGAAGTGTAATTCACATGCCATAAAATTCACTCTTTTAATGTGTGCAGTTCATGGCTTTTAGTATACTCATAGAATTGTGCAACCATCACCACAATCTGATTGTAGATTTTTATTATGAATCTCTTAGCAGTGCCCTCCTCACACTTCAGCCATAGGTAACCACTAGTCTGATTTCTGTCTCTATGTATTTGTGTATTCTGAACATTTCATATAAATGAAATCATACTAGATGTGGTCTGTTGTGATTGGCTTCTTTCATTTACTGAAATGTTTTAAGGTTCATCCATTTGGAGCACGTGCCAATATTTTATTCCTTTTGATTGCTGCATAATATTCTATTGTATAGACATAACATTTCATTTATCCATCCTTCAGATCACAGATGTTTGGGCTGTTTTTACATTTTTACTATTATGAAGAATGCTGCTATGAATATTTATGTACAAGTTTTTGTGTAAATGCGTGTTTTTGTTTCTTTTTGGTAGACAACTAGATTAATTGCTGAGTCATGCAATAACACTATGTTTAACCTTTATATACACACACACACACTCTCTCTCTCACACACACACACACACACACACATATATATATATATATAGAGAGAGAGAGAGAGACAGAGACAGAGAGACAGAGACAGAGACAGACATAGACACAGACACAGTCTTGCTCTGTCACCCAGGCTGGAGTGCAGTGGTACAATCTCAGCTTACCGCAACCTCTACCTCCTAGGTTCAAGCAATTCTCCTGCCTCAGCCTCTTGAGTAGCTGGGATTATAGGTATCTGCCACCATGCCTAACTAACTTTTGTATTTTTAGCAGAGACGAGGTTTCATCATGTTGGCCAGCCTGGTCTCGAACTCCTGACCTCAGGTGACCCTCCTGCCTCATCCTCCCAAAGTGCTGAGATTACAGGCATGAGCCACTGTGCCCGGCCAATATTCTTTTGAGACAGGGTCTTTCTCTGTCACCCAGGGTAGAATGCAGTGGTGCAAACACTGCTTACTGCAGCCTCAACCTCCTGGGCTCAATTGATCCTCCTAGAACCACAGGCATGAATAATCATGCCCAACTAATTTTTTTTAGTTTTATTTTTTGTACAGACGGGGTCACACCATCATGCCCAGGCTAGCCTCGAACTTCTGGGCTCAAGCAATCCTCCTGACTTGGTCTCCCCAAATGCTAGGATTAAAGGTGTAAGCCAATGTGCCCGGCCACATATTCGTTATTGTTAATGAGAAATGGTCAGTACTTTATGTTTGGGACTTGTCAAGTTGAGTAGACATAAATACTTTTAGGTTTGTGAATAGCAGGTTTCCAAGGTTTAATATTTAATAAAATTCAAACCTGGTACAGATTGATTACTTCTAAAGGAGATCCTTTTGTATTATAACTACAGGTATAATTATTTTGCAGTCATAAAAAGTAAGCACTTCAAAGCACTAAAAAATTCCCCCGTGTGAGCACCTTATTGCAAACTTATTACTTTGGGGGGTAGCTGAGAGCTTCCATTGTATCTGAAATATTTGATTTCCACTTGAACACAGGCAGCAAAAATGAGTTTATAGAATGTCTCTGAGGTAAATTTAGCCAAAAACAAGATTAATATTAAGTGTTGTCTCTGGCTTTCTTTCAAAGGAATTTTTTCTCAGTGGGAGGTCATTTCTTCTGTAACCTAAAGCATCATGATTTTTACAGATTTGTCAAAAAATGTTAGCAATTCAAACTAGGCAATCTGATTTACACATACTTATGTAAATAGAACATGTAACAGATATGTTGAGTTTAAACTAGCCTCACATAGATTTGGGGAGGAAGGAAATTATGCTTTTTCACAATTAATAAAATTTAAAATCACAAGAATTATCACTTTATTTGGCTTATAGAATTAAAATTAAGAAATATTTTTTCTTCCTTTCACCCAGAGAAATGTTAAGATGAAATGCCTTCTTACATATTCAATAAGCTTCTCTCAAGAATGTGTCTAATCAGGACTTCTCAGCCTTCAATTTTCTCATTTGCAATGCTATTCTCATTCCCCTTTATTCCCTTTGTTATTTGGCCTTGAAAAAAAATGGCGAGATTCATATCTCTGTCCAACTGCTGAAATCTCACAAGTTTAAAATGGCAATGTTTTTATGGAGGAATCGTGGTGCTGTCACGGTGATTTCAGAAAGCCTTACTTCTGTTTTGCTCTCTCTCAGTCTTTATTATGACCACCTGAACAGGATGAGGGGCCAAAGACACTGCCACTGTGTGTCAGCTAAAGAGCAGAGGACTGGGCTTGGCCTGCAGTGAGGAACTGTAGGGAATGAGGATGGATGAGTGGACAAGGAACTAGGGCTGCAAAGACCACCTTTGGGATAGAAGGCAATTGCTTTTTATAGAGTGTAGTCTCCAGGTCATTTACACTAGAAATGTGTTTTTAGAGGAAAGAATATTGTCCATTAGTGAACAGATGGTCTCAGCAGGAAAGGCATCTCAGGGGCAAGTTTTACTCAAGTTTAGAGTTCACAACAATTATCCTGATAGATGTGTGTGCGTGTGTGTGTGTGTGTGTGCATGCACGCGCATGCCTGTGGGTATATGTGCACTTGTGCCTGTGCATATGGGATTTTTCTTTTAGCTTGCTTGACTGGAATGATAAAATAACTAGCGTATTCTTTATTTATTTGCTATAAAATGATAAAATGTGGTTTTAACAAAAAATGTTTTAAAATATTGTTCATTGAACTTTAACAACACACATACACGAATTTTTCTTGCATTTGCCAAATCAAAACAGGTTTCATCCTGGTGTTCTTAGTTTAACAACAATGGTCTATTTTACATTAAAGCCTATTAGTCAACCCTGAGCACAAAACTCCATCCAAGGTGGTGACTCCAACTATGACACCCCCTCTCCACCATATCAACCTAGATCTTAAGTGAAAAAGTACAGGGGAAAATTATTCTCCTGCATGCAAAGAATAGGAAAAGAGAAAGGCATAGAATGTTAAGAATAATAGTCGTAATATTAATGGCAATTACATTAATCATTGTCTTTCAAGTACCTGTTTTGCGCCAGGCACAATGCTAAGTCGTCTATGTATATTGTATTGTTGTTTCTCCTGATAGCTCCATGTGGTCAAGACTATTATTGAACCCTTTTGGTAGACAAGGAAACTGAGGCAAAGAAATGTTAAGGAACAGTCCCAAAGTGCACAGCTAGATGAAAATCTAGAAATTGCACTCTAGAGTCTGGTTGCTCTAGAGTCAGTTTACTCAAGTATAATTTCTGGATTATATGATATCTCTCCGATAAGATGAGTGTTTCCTAGAGGTGAGCCCCCTAGAGTTTGGGCTGGAGAATGGATGGCAATAGGATAGATTAAGGCTTGGAATGTTGACGGAGAAAGAGCCTTCTAGAAGAGAAATATACTATACTTTAAGGCAGGGTTTAGAAAATGCATGTGGTGCATTCATGGGATAATGAAGAATCCAGGCTGCTCCATTGGGCTGTTTATGCTGGAAACACTAGTTGGAGGGACAGGTAGTTATGCAATTTGTAGTAGACAACCTCTCCCTAGCAAGGTAGAAAAGCAAGAGAGGTAGGAACAAAATTCTGAGTTTTTATTTTTCCATCCATATTTTAAGACAGATGCACAATATCTGCAGTTTGACCACTTACCTCAAAAGAGTGCTACCCATAAGCTCCTGGCTCCAAGAATGCTTTTGTTCAAACATAGGAGGGGATTTGAAAGATGCTTTGAAGATGGTGGTCTGAATATTTTAACTATAGTAAGGAATTCCTAGTCAATTTTTGTTATTCTTTGTTTTTGGGGGAGGGGGAAAAGTGCCAAATATTTTCATATAGGAAGAATAGAGTATTCAAAATCTTTCTAAAAACCTAATTATATATGATTAGTTGTAAGATTTTAATCCTAGAGTTTGGACAGATCTCAACATTAAAATGACGGTTTTGGAAAATTGTTTAAAGATACAAATGTCAATTTGCTTCCTGGGATTCATATACTGGGAGGTTTTACCCTAATATGTTTAGAAGGCAGAATTTGGAAACAAAGGGCTCCCTACTTCTTACAGTTTTACTTTGTACTTCATGATGCTGAAAATGTAATTAGCCCCTCGATACCATATGGCACATTGGTACCCATTGTTATCTTTTTAAAATTATGTTTTAGGGCCCTAACCTATGTAGATTTTAACTCTGCAGATTTATCCAAAGTACTTCATCTTATGGCATGATTTTAAGGCTTTATTCATAATTTTTACTTATTATTAAGAGAAAACTCTCTAGGATCTTTTTTCTAGTATAAGCAGATTATATTTATAGAGTCCTTACTATGTGCCAGGTACTACTTATTAAAAGTACATTCAACTGGCTTAATTCTCACAATACTTTGTGAGGTAAGTAATATTACCCATTTTATTGTTAAGGCATAAAATTTTCAATAACTACCACAATGGAGCATAGCTATTACATAGTGGAGCTCAGTGTGAAATCAAACATTTTGGCTCTAGAGATTTTGCTACTCACCACTGTGCTATGCTACAAGGGTAAGGTTAAACCCACATATCAGCCTATATAATACTAGAGTGTTTTGGTTAATAAGTAGGAGCACTTTCTTTTCTACAATCTAGAAAAGTGCTATTGAAGGGAGGTTTCCTAAGTGGTCTCTGACCATAGATACAGATGAGATATTTAAAGGAGGTTTTTAACTACATCACTATGTAATGAGTGGAGGAAGCAATATGTAATACTTATCTATTATTGCATAAAAAATTACCCCAAAACTTACTGGCTTAAAGCAACAAATATACATCATCTGCCAGTTCCTATGAGTCTGGAATCCAGGTATGATTCAGCTGGGTGCCTGTGGCTCAGAATCTCCCACAATGCTGTCTCAAGTTATGAATAGGAGCTGTGTTTTCATCTGCAAGTTTGACTGGGGAAGGTCTGCTTCAAAGCTCATACATTTGGCTGTTGGCAGGCCCCAGGTACTCTGGCTGTTGGACAGAGACATCTGTTCCTTGCTCCATGGACCTCTCCATAGGGCAGGTCATAGCAAGGCATCTGAATTCCCTCAGAGCAAGCCAGCAAGACAGGGAAACTCAAGCCGGAAGCTATCTTTTGTGACCTTTTTGTAACCACCACTTTTTCTGTATTTTGATGATTAGGAGCAAGTCAGTAGGTCCAGCCATGGGGAGGGGATTACACAAGAGTAAGGGGTTTACACAAAAGGGATCACTGGGCACCATTTTTGAGGCTGCCTACCAGCGTCTCCCCTTGTCAGCCTAAGATAAGTTAGTATTGCTATGAAGTAATAACAGATCACTGAATGTATTGTCACCTGCCTATTTTTATAGTTAATAGATACAGCAACGTATTTTGTATTTAAAGCTTCTTTTTAGGAAAAGGCCATTTGTGTGCCCTCCATTAACTTCACACCAATTTCAGTCAGTTTGCTGTGTTGTGATAAGATGTTTCAGTTACACCCTCTGTGCTTCAGAGTGACTGGTCCTTCATTAGAGGGTTAAGAAACTTAGTATTTTGGCAGAACTGAGTAATTTGTTTCACCCAGTGGTTAATTTAGGCAAGCAACTGACTTGACTGATCTGAGTCCTTTTAGTACATGTCTGTTTAGCTGAGTTAATCAGATGGAGTATTGGTTTAGCATTAGGTCAGGGAATTCTGAAAGTAGAATATGTATTACCTAGCCTATTTTCCACATCTAAAATAAGGAAATATATAGGATTTATTAATAAAATATTTGAGAAAACAACAGAATATACATTGTATTTTTCTATGTAATTTTGTGTTTGATGAGTAATCATTCTCATTAGAGAATGATACCAGTTTTGAGTTTTGAAAGACATCTTTTCTCACAGAACTATCAATTGCCACTCTTTGCCAGAAGAGTTTTTCAAAGAGGTATGCGTATTTCTGCTAGCTATCATTACAAAATGATTCTGAGTTATAGTATGAATTGGTAATGGATCTACTTATGACACACTGGTTCACATCTCAGATTGTTTTTATCTTCTAATGGAAGTCATTCATTCCTTCACATAGTCACTTATATATTCAGTAATTATTTGTTGAGTGTCTACTCTGGACCACACAGAGTTGTAAGCATTGCAATGTAATTTCGTATATTTTTCAAAATCTCATTGTAAGGAAAAGAGTGTTTAGCACCTCTCACTGGATTGAGGTAGCAATGTTTACTTCTTAATATTTTTCCTTAGAAAACAAGCTTCAAAAAATTGTGTTATCCTTTGATTGTTTCGGAAAAAGCTGTTCTCTTTAAATAGCATTTAAATATCACCACAAATTGATATATGATTCTCGAAGAATGAAGCTTCATATGAAAATAAATAAACAGCTCAACACAGATAAAGAAATATAAATTAACCTAGTGAGAAAAGAACACAATTATTGGCTGGATATGAACCTTGATTATGAGTCAGTAGCAAACACTAAAAGAGGGAAAATGATCCATTATTCAATGGAAATAATTTAGCTTGATTATTCCTGCATTTTCAAGAGCAGTAAGATCAGCCACATGCAGACAAGTGGGACAGAGTTGTTGTGAATTAAATGCAGTTGTATTGCTATTATATTTAAGACATCACAATCTCATTTACTCCCATGGAGCCTGAAGTATGTGCTCTTATGAATAATAATCTTATGATTTTTTTCATAATATGAAATTATACATGAGCCTCTGAATTTTATTTCAGTCAATGAGGTTTGTCCTCTTTTTGTTCTTGCCATTGGTGATTGATATAATCATTCATATGTGTGTGCAAAATGACCTGATTCATCATGATTATATATATTAATAATGGCTATATTGAATAACTTTAGCCAAAGGAAATTTGATTGGTAGGATTCACAAATTATGAAATGTCTAGGATTTAAAGAACATATATCATTAAAATCCTTTGAAAAAACAAATTATCCAATTCATAGTCCTTCGGTCAAGAAAATTATTTGATACTCAGTTCCACTTTAAAAATTAAATATTAAATTTCATGAGTGTTGCCTGAAAGCTATTTGCAAATAAGTTCTGAGTTTGTGTTATTACAATGGGTTTCCATGCCATTGAAAATATTGTTCTTCTACACATGACATCTTTTTTTCTCATAATTTATCTCCTTAGGTCCTATCTCTTTCTGCTGCTTTTTTTTTTTTTACCCCAGTTATTTCAATATGAATCTTCTTCTCAACTCAGCAACACTTCAGGGCTCACTGCTCTTGTCCCAGTGAGTTATCTCAATTGAGCCCGCGCATCACACATGTGACCCTGGCACATCTGTGAGGCACCAGCACATGTACTCCACAGCCATGTAGAAGCAGCTCATGTTCCCTGATAATATTGTGTAGGGAGAGAAATCAATAGGGCCTTAGGCGAGCCTGAGGAAAAGAGTTAATTAAGCAGTGTGGAAAAGAGAAGCATCATTGACAAGCAGCAAGATACATTTAAAAGGAATTTTTCAAATGTATTGAAAACAAAATAGGTGAAGGAGGGGGCAAAACAGGAGGAAACTATGCTACCTTTTCTCAGTGACACTATCACAAATTTATTTACTTTTTCAATAAATTGCATATATATATTCACACACAAGTACATTCGTAACTTAAACCCTCTTTATATTTCAGTGTAGACAACATGTGAGAGGGCTGTTATCGATTCTACAGAAGAATCATGGCATGTTATATCAATCATGTTTCATGTGCAGGAGCTACTCGTAGGGATTGTGATTGTTGCTACATCATCCAGAATCTCATAGTCAAGTTGCACTTTTGCCCCATCAAATTCCACTTTTCATCCTATTAGGAACAACTTTGCTATGTAAGCAGGGTTTTTATGTAAATATTTTAAATTGAATCAATTGCAATATGCTGTCATGACATCTGATTTCCAGGTATGAAGTAAGTGTGCAGTATATTGTGGACATCACACGATTTGCCTCTCTGTTCTTTACCATGTGTCTCATGATGCCACTGCAAGTTGCATAGGAGAAAACTGAACATATCTACTCCTAGAATTAGATTGGTTTTTTAGAAGCAAGATTTTCAGGGAAATAAGGAGGAATTCGTTTGAAAATCCCAGTTGAACACCTATTCGTATTACAGATGGGTTTATTTCTTGGTTTTATTCAGAAACTAGGGGCCTGGATTGCCACTTCCTTTTAAAGCAAGCTGTGTAGGCCCTTATTGATCGAAGTGTGGTCTCTTGGCCAGAAGCATCAGGATCACCTAGGATCCTTTAGAAATACAGTCTCAATCTTCAGATTAGTCAAACTGAATCCAAATCTGCATTTAACAAGGTTCCCTAGGTGATTCTTCTGCATATTACAGTACGGGGAAGCACTGAGCCTCAGACAGTTGCATTTTGGGTAGGGCATATGTATTTGTTTCAACTATAACTCTCAAATCTTGTCCTCTAGCTGTAAATCCCAACTACACTGAAAATTTTAAATTGTCAATCAATGCAAATAAAGATAATTAATATTTGGTGCCTCTGGTGCATGCTTAGGATAGTGAGGAATGCACAGAGATTAAAAGAATGATGTCAGCTATGCAGAAGAGTGGAATTCGTTAAGAATGTGATTGCCTCCCATCTTAAGAGATAAAACATGCATTGAAAAAACTATTAGAGAACAACATATACCCATATTTAGCCAACTGCTAGATTGAGCTTAAGGCTATTACTGCTTTGCAAGTACTAAGAAGATAAAAATCATTGTACAAAAATTCTCTAAGAATTTTTGCCTTTTCTTCTTCTCTCAGTCATCACTGCAATTATGATAAAATTATACTGACCTTTGGAAAACTCAGTCAAATATATGATCTCCACTGGCCCTGAATTCTACAGTCTAACTAAACGTGTCACAGAGAGAGAATTAGATAGTTCTCTTTAATTGGTTTTAAATTGGTAGTCCTTTCACTCAACATTTTTTGCTGGCTTCCTTTAGTTCACTGTATTACAGTATAACACAGAAAAATTGGAACAAAAACTTTTTGCCAAAAACTATGCATTCGTAGTCAAGTAAACAAACATGGCTACTCTGAGAAATTGGTTATAACAATATAGCAAGCAACAACCCACTAAAAAAATCAAGCAGCACTAGGAAATATCTCTTATGTTTAATTTCCTGTTGGTTTTGCTATTCAGGTAGGTCTGGTTTTTTGAGAGCTAATGTGGTAGTCTATACAAAAGGGTCATCGCTGATAATGTGTATAACCAAATGTTATTGACTATAATTTTTTTAAAATAATTTTGTTACAATTTTTCTGCCTTTATATTATATCAGCAATACAAATAAAAACACTCCTTTAGAGTTAAAGCAGGATTTTTTAACAAACAGTTATTTTCAGGCCATTAGTAAAATATAATTTTCAAAAGTTAAAAATATGACTCTCATAAATATAAAATGAACATATCAAAGATTTTATTCATTTCATTAATTAATGACAGAATGAGGAAAATGGCAAGCCTGGCATTTATTGGCACTTTAATAAAAAATTAGAATATGTTTGCTAGGATAGTTATGAAATAGGCTAATATCCATTAACAGTAATAAACTATCAACTTTGACATCTTCTCAGCTGGACAGGAATTATTTGCATTTCTAATAGAAAATCTATAACATATAGCTTCACTCAACTGGGGTTCTTTAATCAATTGTAAACAGGCTGCTTAACAAAATACATTCCCTAGATAATTAAATCATCTTTGTATGGACCTGATAAATCCCCATGGACAAATATGTCACCTTTCTTTTTTCCTTATTTTCACATTTTACATCACTACCTGTATTTAGAAAGATCACATATTAATTCTAGTTCTCATTCCATTGTTCTTGCTTTCTTTAGATTGGAGTCAATAAACATAATCTGTTTCTAAATTCTCTGGAAAATAAGCACAAAACCACCTTACTCTAAATGTCCTTCTTTCCTTACTGACCTTTCCAGGTAGGGCATTCCTAATGCCATGTGACCTCATAAAATCATGGGCTAGCTGGAATTTATTAATGTGACTTGAGAGATGTTTAAAGCTGAACCAGTATGATTAATAATCATGCAGATGGAAATGAAGGGAAGGGTCTGAGATATATCTAGAAAGTAAAATCCAAGGGACCTCATGCCTTCTTGAGTAGAAAGGAGCTTGGGAGAAGAAAGAGCCAAAATTGACAGTGGGATTACATGAGAAATAAATAAGATCTTTGACATTTGGGTTTAAGGTAGTAAAGAAACATTGAATTTAAGATATTGATGAAGCAATGAGAAATTTTACTATGGAACTTGGGTCAGTGTAGGAACCAGGACCATAGAGTCACAGGGTACCCATTGATGGTGGTACTTGAAGCCATGGGAAATAATTTAAAAATAGTCACCAAGAGAGGGCATCCTAAAACAAAACCAACAAAATCAGTATTAGGTACCAGAGAAAGAAGAGGCAATGAAGAAAAGATAGTCAGATAAGAGAATTGAAATGTGGCAGTGTAAGTGCATACAAGTTTTTTGAAATGTAAACAAATAAATATAGTACTCTCAACACATATACAGGAATACATTTTAATTTCTCTAAGATTAATATTGTGTGCCTCTTTCCAAATTACTACAAACAGGGCCAGGCACGATAGCTCACGCCTATAATCTCAGCACTTTGGGAGGCCAAGGCGGGAGGATCACCTGAGGTCAGGAGTTCAAGACCAACCTGGCCAACATGGTGAAACCTCATCTCTACTAAAAATACAAAAATTAGTCAGGCATGGTGGCACACGCCTGTGGTCCCAGCTGGAGAAGGAGGATCCTTATTATTCTGCACACTCACCACATTTGCTTGCCAAATGCAAGCACAACCTGAGGATTCCTCCAGCACTTTCAATGTTACTACTGCTTCAACATTCCAATAGTTGACAGTAGATATAATTTTGGCAAAATTAGAAGATCTTATGGAATGGTTTGTCTCATTCAATTTCTGACAGATATGTTAAAGAATTGTTTTCCTGTCCTTTCGTCTCCTCCCTTTTGCAGTTTTGATAATACAGTTAAGCAGAAAATCAGTGAGCTAGTCTCCCAGTGAAATCTCCTCTCTTCCAAGGGACTGTGCCCAAGTGATCCTTTGATCATTTGGAGAAATAAAGCCCTCGCTGTACAGAAAAGCTCAGCTCCACAGTGCCTCAGCCACAGAGCAGATCAGCAGCCATGCTGTCATATTTACAGCCAGGTGAAACTCTGGGTTCTTTGCTCTGCATATTTGTAAAATCACCAACTATGATGAGAGTCCACGGGATAGCAATTTGCTGCTGCCGAAACATTTCCATGCAAGATTCCAGGGAAAAAGAAAATGGCATATTCCTGGGTCTTGGCTGAAATGATTTTGCTGTTATTTGATAAATAATAGTGACTGTGGGCTTCTTTTATGTTAGGTATTCTGTTCACACACAGATAATTGGGATTGCAACAGATATTTTGTTTTTCTTTAAAGGGAGTTGATCTTAATAACAAAAAAATTAAATATATTCACAGGCATATGACTAGACAAGTAGTGTATATATGACACAATAACTAAACTAAAATTGAACAGTATAAATTTGGCACAGTGTACATTAAAAAATCTGAATAATTAACCTCATGGTGCTTTCATTCACATATTGGGAATTATATGAGTCTAGAATGTGAGAACGTGTGCTGTTCTCATTTTCTAGAAAAGACTAGAATTTTCCTTTATATGGAAAGAAATATTTTCTTTCAGATTGGAAAAATATATTCACTTTGTAGGGTAACATTGACACAGCAAGGTTTTTGTGTGTGGTTTCTAGATGTGGGAAATGTGAACTTGGCCCACCATACCGTCTATATCTATTGTATGCATTATCAAGAATTATTATGAAGGGATCTGTTGTAATTAGTTGACACAGGATTACTATTGTCTCTGCATTAATGAGGTAGAGGTAAAACAGGATCTCTGTCTTGTAGGTCCTCTTTTCCCTCTGCTCCCTCTCCTTCCTGCTGTTAATTTTCAAAAGCCCTTCAGGATTTTTTAAAAAGGAAAGCCTATTGATGTGACTTGATAATTTCTCCTTAAAACAATTCATTTTCATTTCTTTCAGTTGAGAATTCAATTTTTGACTCAGCATTTAGCCCTAAAAGCATTTGAAACAGGGTTGATCATGTGCCAGATGTGCATAAATGCTTTACATCCATTGTCTCATTTGATCCTCACAACACCACAAAGTTGGTGTTGTTACTCCCATTGTGTGGCAAGAGAAGGTGAGGCACAGAGAGGTAAATGGCATGCACCAAAGAACTGACAGCTGTTAAGTGTTGGAATTGTGACTTATAATCCTTTGGGTATATACCCAGTAATGGGATGGCTGGGTCAAATGGTATTTCTAGTTCTAGATCCCTGAGGAATCACCACACTGACTTCCACAATGGTTGAACTAGTTTACAGTCCCACCAACAGCGTAAAAGTGTTCCTATTTCTCCACATCCTCTCCAGCACCTGTTGTTTCCTGGCTTTTCAATGATCGCCATTCTAACTGGTGTGAGATGGTATCTCATTGTGGTTTTGATTTGCATTTCTCTGATGGCCAGTGATGATGAACATTTTTTCATGTGCACATGCACACGTATGCTTATTGTGGCACTATTCACAATAGCAAAGACTTGGAACCAAGCCAAATGTCCAACAATGATAGACTGGATTAAGAAAATGTGGCACATATACACCATGGAATACTATGCAGCCATAAAAAATGATGAGTTCATGTCCTTTGTAGGGACATGGATGAAGCTGGAAACCATCATTCTCAGCAAACTATCGCAAGGACAAAAAACCAAATACCGCATGTTTTCACTCATAGGTGGGAATTGAACAATGAGAACACATGGACACAGGAAGGGGAACATCACACACTGTGGCCTGTTGTGGGGTGGGGGGAGGGGGGAGAGATAGCATTAGGAGATATACCTAATGTTAAATGACGAGTTAATGGGTGCAGCACACCAACATGGCACATGTATACATATGTAATTAACCTGCACATTGTGCACCTGTACCCTAAAACTTAAAGTATAATAAAAAAAAAAAAAAAAACCTGTGACTTAAACTAGGCTAAATGCCCATCATTGGTAAACTGGACAAAGAAAACATGATACATATACACCATGGAATACTACACAATCATAAAAAAGAATGAGATCATATTCTTGGCCGCAACATGGATGGAGCTGGAAGCCAAAATCCTGAGTGAACTAACGCAGGAACAGAAAACCAAATACTGTATATCCTCACTTTGAAAGGTGAGAGGTAAACATTGAGTGCACATAGACACAAAGACTAGAACAACGGACACTGGGGTCTACTTAAGGGTGGAAGGTAGGAGGAGGGAGATAGTAAAAAAAAACTACCGTTGAGCACTATGCTTATTACCTGGGTGACAAAATAATCTATACCAAGCCCCTATCACACAAAATTTACCTATATAACAAAACTGCAAATGTACCCATGAACCTAAAACAAAAGTTTTTTAAAAAAAATCCTAGGCTTCTGTTGAAGCCTATGGGCTAATTTTTTCATGATACTGCCTGTGCTTGTTAAATGAATACATGTAAAGCACAAGGTCTAGCACAAGTAATAAAATCTAGTTATAAGCAAACTGTTATTTTTATTTTCTACTGATGTTTAGATTCAGTATTGTTTTCTTTCCCTGTGTTGGAGATTTATTTTAGAGTAACCTAGTCTCATTTCTGTTTACATTTCAGAGACATTTGTAGGTTTTATTGTTGATGTTGATTTTTTTGGAACAATATATTGAAAAACCAAAATGTCATGAAGTTACTGAAAATAGTTATTCCACATTTCAATCTCCAATCTTGTTCCTAATCTCAAAATTTTGAACGTCTACCTGATTTAAATTTCTTTGAGAAGTTTTTTGGGTAGGATGAAGGAGCATGCTCTGGAGTTACTGGGTGTTTTCTTTCTTCCTATGGAGCCACCCTGTTTTATTCATACTCTTGCCAAGCTTCCAGCACGGAAGCTTTCTCTGTGATAGATTTTCTCTGGTATGAAATATTTTTTTTTCTCTTTCTCAAAATCACTATTAATGAACGTACTGGAAAATGGAGCAGCCTGACAATTTTGGTTCTGAATGTAACCACTATGAAAATTTTCTAAAATATCTAAAATATCCTTGAAGTTTCTGTTTCCTCACTTAAAACCCGAAAAGGTTGGACTAGATGAGGAATAAAAAATATTCTAGTAGACTGAACTATATGAAATTACCATTTTTGTAGGTAAAAAAAGTTGATTATTGGTCATTTCATATGACCTAACCTAAGAGATTAACTATCTTGTAATTTCAGGTTAAATATTAATATGTATTTATATAGAGAAAAAGTAGCAGTGTGCAGTCTTCTCTATGAATAACTTCTCCTCAGAAGAGACTGAGATACCAGCAAAATGTTATGAATTCTTTTGGAATAAGTAGGGGTTATTTTGGAAGATGCTCAGAATCTTGAAATTGTGATTTAATAAAAGATCTGTTTTTTAAATGTTTATAGCACAATGTAGTATGTGAGCATTACTGGGTAATTGAAAACAGTATATGTGAGTATTAAATATAGCTACAAAACAGTATTATTTGCCATCAACTTTCCATTTTTTAAATATATTTTCATGATCCTAATGGTTTTGCAAGTACTAGTAAACTGGAGCTAGGTTTAAGATATTATCCAACATTTTCTCTCTAACTAAATTTGATATGTCATGTAACTCTTTTCTGATTTTAACAGAAATTCTGACTATATAAGGTCAACACACACACGCACACAATATATTGCATGGCTGAGTTTTAGTCTTTAATCCATAAATATTTCTTTTGCTGAGAACTACAGAAGATAAAAATGCTGAATCAGACGTAGGCCTTGTCCCCAAGGACCTTGCAGTCAATTTTTAGGTACTGTTCAATCTAAACCTGTCCCATTCTGACTTCTGGACTTGTGTCCTTTTGCTAGCAAACTGACTTCATATTCCTTTTTGATAAGTGCTGGAGCTGGCTGGGACTGGCTCATATGAGCCCATTGTTAAATACGCAGGAATTTTGCAAGGCAGTTGCTAAACTGTTATTAGTTTGCAATTGGCCTAGGTGGAAGTATTTACCCCACAGAAATTGGCAGATGCTATTAATGGGGGATTTTTTTTTTTTTTTTTTTTTGCCTGAGAGGCACTTTGCCAGTATACCACCAGAATTCACCAGGCTGGCAGTTGCAATAGAATTCTCCAAAAGATATACATCCGATTATTACACAAAGATAGAATTATAAAATCTTATACACAGCTACGCTGGGGTAGGATAAAGTGAGAGATCTTGGAGAATTGTGGCTTAAGAAAAATAACTTCAAAACTAAGACAAGCACCCTTAGTTTAGATAGTAAGTTCAATTTCTCCTTATAGCCTTTGCAGGAATACTGATAACTTCCCAGGGAGAAACAAATGGCTTTTTTTCACTACCTACAACGTACTTCACATTGATAAATATCATATGTAATTCACATGAGGATCCTGTGAGGTTATTATTTACTGATAGATTTTTCTTTTGTTGTTTTTGCTTTCTTTATTTTTTATTCCCACTTTAAAAGCAAGGCTAAAAGCACAGGTGTGTTCCGTGGTTAGTAAATAGCTGAGTTGGGATTTAAACACAGGCCATGCTGACTGCAAGACTGTCCTGCTTCTACCACACTGTTTTCCAGGCAAGAGCATCTGATAAGTAGGGCCAGTGATTTTGAGTGTCATCTCCTTTTTTATCCCTTAACATCTTCCTTCCCCAAGATTAGCTAACTCATACAGAAGAGGCAAGAAGGCTTCTTGGAGAGTTTCTGAAGTCAAGATTTAGAAAATTAATGATTTGTATAATTCATACGCAAAGAACCAATCACAACTTTGCCTTAATGTCCTCATTTGCAAAATAACTATTGTAAGGAAATGGAATTGAAAATATTTAATATCTGGAGTTTATTATACTGAAGCATTATAGGAGCATAGAACCTTAGGATTTTGTCATTTCTGTAGGCTAATGTCTCTCCATACCCTTCCTATTATCTCTCACTTTTAAGGACAATTTTTAAAAAGATTCATGTTTTTTCAAGTGGGGAATGAGCTAAAATAAGGAATCTGTTTTTATCTCTCAGTTATAAGATAGGCAGATGACAGTACTCAGCCTCATGTTATTGAATATGTGCAGGGAGTGAAAAAGACTTCTAATTAAATGAATGCCATTGGGTACCAAATTTTAAAGGCCTGCACTAAATGGCCCTAGTCATTAATCCTAGAAAAAAGAAAATCGATGTGTGCAGAATGTTCTCTGGTGAATTTTGGTCATTTGCTTTTCCCAGGAATATTCACTGACTGTATCACATAGTCTTTATATAGCTCAATAATGAGCAAAAGAATAAAAGGAGACATAAAAGAAGGAATCAGTAAGTCAGCACTGACCTAATTATTACAAAGTGAATGTTTTTACAAGTAACCTGCAGGCAACTCAGGAGTGAGAAAATATTTTTGTTCAAGCGTTTCAGTATTTCTTATGCATCATAAAGCTTAAAGCAAAAAGAATAGCATTCAGCCATAATTGATGAATAAGCTGAACCCTGAATTTTAGAATAAAAATGTTTACCTGTAAGTTGGCTTTAACATGATAAAATAGGGATAGTCAAGACAAAGGTTGCCTTCTGTTTGGCTATAAACAAGTGTATTCTGTTCTATTCCAGGAAAGAAAGAAGGACTCATTTTCTTCATTTTTTCTTCCTTCCCCTATTTCTCTCTCTCTTTCTTAGAATTTTCAGGCTCAGAGTCTTTAATTATAACATTAATATAGGAAGGACACGTTTACTGATTTGATGTATATTATTTTAAATGTGTTTTCATAATATTTCAATGTAATTTGGAAAGCAAAGATAATAGATAATACATAGAAATAAAAACCTGAACTAGAATATCAAAAGATAGCCTTTATTTTATGCTTATTCCATTGCTCACTGAGGCTTTCTTCAGAACACAACAAAGGTATCCAGGTCTGTCTAACTTCTACGATTCTATAAAAAGGAAAATTAAAACATAGGCCAGGATTACAATTGTATATAATCAATGCATGTAAGAACATGTATATATTTCAAATCTGCAATTTTCCAAAAACAAAGAACATGTGTCATGATTATCACTTGTTTGTCATTTACTCAAATTTTCTCATGAACTCTGGTATGACTTTGTCAATGCTAATTATAAACTTACCTTGCTTCATAAAAGACAGCAGCAAAGTTCATGAGTTTAAGTTCTAGGGAGCTAAAAAACAAACAGATCAATGGAAACTTTGAACTGTGATAAACACTATGATGAAAAGTACATAGGCTATGAATACGTTCCATGTATTATCATTTTATTTTCTTGTGCTTGAGCAAATAAGCATATAAATTATTATTTTTCAAGACCTTTCATAAATTTTATGCTGAGATTAACCATTCATTTGCACGTGGCATTTTACTAACCCCTACCTGCATCTCCTCAAACCCTCTGAAAGAATACCCTGTACAGGCTTAGACCCATGTTTTGCCCTGTAGTTCTGTTATGTAAGATCACTAAAAGGATTGAGATTGAAACCTCCAGGAATTTCCCCATGGGCTGTATTTGTTCTTTTAAATAACTTGAGGATAGATATGGCTTTGCTGTGTCCCCATCCAAATCTCATCTTGAATTGTAACTCCCACAATCCCACATGTTGTGGGAGGAACCTGGTGGGAGGTGAATGAATCATGGGGGTGGTCTTTCCCGTGCTGTTTTTGTGATAGTGAGTACGTCTCATGAGATCTTATGGTTTTAAAAATGGGGGTTTCCCTGCACAAGTTCTCTTCTCTTGTCTGCCACCATGTGAGACGTGCCTTTCACCTTCTGCCATGACTGTGAGGTCTCCCAGCCACATGAAACTGTAAGTCCAATAAACCTCTTTCTTTTGTAAATTGCCCAGTCTCAAGTATGTCTTTATCAGCAGCATGAAAATGGACTAATACAGTAAATTGGTAGTGGGAGTAGGGCACTGCTGAAAAGATACCCAAAAATGTGGAAGCAACTTTGGAACTGGGTAACAGGCAGAGATTGGAACAGCTTGGAAAGCTCAGAAGAAGACAGGAAAATGCGGGAAAATTTGGAACTCCCTAGAAACTTGTTAAGTGGCTTTGACCAAAATGCCGATAATGACATGGACAATGAAATCAGGCTGAGGTGGTCTCAGATGGAGATTAGGAACTTCTTGGGAACTGGATCAAAGGTGACTCTTGTTATGTTTTAGCAAAGAGACTGGCAGCATTTTGCCCCTTCCCTAGAGATTTGTAGAACTTTGAACTTGAGAGAGATGATTTAGGGTATCTGGTGGAAGAAATTTCTAAGCAGCAAAGCATTCGAGAGGTAACTTGGCTGCTCTCAAAGGCATTAAATTTTACATGGGAAACAGAAGATAAAAGTCTGGAAAATTTGCAGCCTGACAATTTGATGGAAAAAAAAATCCGATTTTCTGAGGAGAAATTCAAGCCAGCTGCAGAAATTTGCAGAAGTAACAAGGAGCTGAATGTTAATCCCCAAAGCAATAGGGAAAATGTCTCCAACGCATGCCAGATACCTTTGTGGCAGACCCTCCCATTATAGGCCCATGGGTTTAGGAGGAAAAAGTGGTTTTGTGGGCTGGGCTCAGGGTCCCTCTATTGTGTGCAGTCTAGGGACTTGGTGCCCTGCATCCCAGCCACTCCAGCCGTGACTAAAAGAGGCCAAGGTACAGCTCTAGCTGTTGCTCCAGAGGGCAGAAGCCCCAAACCTTGGAAGCTTCTACGTTTTTAAGCCTGCAGGTACACAGAAGTCAAGAATTAAGGTTTGGGAACCTTTACCTAGATTTCAGAAAATGTATGGAAATGCCTGGATGCCCTGGCAGAAGTTTGCTGCAGGGGCACGACCCTCGTGGAGAACCTCTGCTAGGGCAGTGCAGAAAGGAAATGTGGGGTCTGAGTCTCCACACAGAGTCCCTGCTGGGGCACTGCCTAGTGGAGCTATGAGAAGAGCACCACCATCCTCCAGACCCCAGAATGGTATAACCACTGACAGCTTACACCATGCACCTGGAGAAGCCACAAACGCTCAATGCTGCCACTGAAAGCAGCCAGGGAGGAGACCGTACCCTTCAAAGCCACAGGGGTAGAGCTGCCAAATACCATGGGAGCCCACCTCTTGCATCAGCATGACCTGTATGTGAGACATGGAGTCAAAGGAGATCATTTTGGAGCTTTAAGATTTGACTGCACCTCTGGATTTCGAACTTGCATGGGGCCTGTAGCCCCTTTGTTTTGGCCAATTGCTCCCATTTGGAATGGCTGCATTTACCTAATGCCTGTATCCCTCTTGTATCTAGGAAGTAACTAACTTGCTTTTGATTTTACAGGCTTACAGGTGGAAGGGACTTGCCTTGTCTCAGATGAGACTTTGGACTGTGGACTTTTGAGTTAATGCTGACATGAGTTAAGACTTTGGAGGGCTGTTGGGAAGGCATACTTGGTTTTGAAATGTGAGAACATGAGATTTTTGAGGGGCCGGGGGTGAAATGGTGTGGTTTGGCTATGTCACCACCCAAATCTCATCTTGAATTTTAACTCCCACAATTCCCACATGTTATGGGAGGAACCTGGTGGGAGGTGACTGAATCATGGGGGCAGGTCTTTCCTGTGCTGTACTCATGATAGTGAGTGGGTCTCAAGTGACCTGACGGTTTTAAAAATGGGAGTTTACCTGCACAAGCTCTCTTCTCTTGTTGACCATCATGAGATATGTGCCTTTCACCTTCCACCATGATTGTGAGGCCTTCTAGTGACTTGGAACTGTAAGTCCAATAAACCTCTTTCTTTTGTAAATTGCCCAGTCTCAAGTATATCTTTACCAGCAGCATGAAAACAGACTAATACACAATTGCATTAGCCTCTAATTGTGCCTGGCTTTCTAGATGTCCTCAGAGGCAGCACTTGATGCAATGGAGTAGGACTCATTGCTCTGTATATACTGCCTTCTTCGCCTTCTTCTGGAGGTCCAGTGCATCGCCATTGCTGTCTTCAAATATTTGTGAGTACCACGCTTACAGGGCATCATAGCCATGATGAAGGAAAACAACAGACAGGATTTAGGTTCCCTCTGGAAAGTACTTCCCATTTATGGCAAGACTCACAAATGTAGGGGTGTTTCCAACTCTACAAAAATATTTAGAATTTCCTTAAATAAAGTGTCTATCTGGAGTCTTTGGCATATATATAACAAGACTGGCAATATACTGAGAATTTGAAATTAAGTGATAGGCATATTGGGACTCATTATACTATTCTTTTTTTTTTGGTGGTGAAATTTTCCAGTTTTAACATCTTCACATGTGGTATTTAATTTACACACCATACCATTTTCCCATTTAAAGTTACACAACCATCACCACATTAATTTTCTAACATTTTGTCACCCCTAAAAGAAATTCTCTAGCATTCACCTCTCATCTTCCAGTCCCTCCCTCAACCCATCAGAGGCAATCTCTCATCTACTTTCTGTCTTTGTATATTTGCCTATTATGTACATTTTACATAAATGGAATTATACACTATGTGGTCTTTCATGAGTGGCTTTCAGATGAGATAATTTTTCAAGGTTCATCCATATTGTAGAATGTATCAGTACTTCATTCCTTTTGATGGCTAAATTAATATTCCATTGTATGGATATACTACATTTTGTTTACCCATTCATCAGATAGTGGGCATTTGGACTGTTTTCACTTTTTCTGGCTATTGTGTGAATAATGCTGCTATGAACATTTGTAAATAAGTTTATATGTAGATATATGTTTTCAGTTACCTTAGGTATATACTTTGGGAAGGAACTGCTGGGTCATACTTAATTCTATTTTTAACCTTTTGAGGAACTGCTAAACTATTTTTCAAAGAGGCAACATCAATTTACATTCCCACAAGCCACTTTTACGTTCCCACCAGCCAGTTGTGTGAAGATTCCATTTTTTTCACATCCTTGCCAATATTGTTATTATGTGTTTTTAATCACAATCATCATAGTGGTTGTACAGTGGTATTTCTTACTATCCTAATTTGGTATCTGCTTAAAACTTTTCTAACAAAGAACTTTTAAAAATTATAAATATTAAATTCTCTGAGTTTGTTTAAACAGTCATTTGCAGAAACATTTTATTGATAACAAAAGAGACTATTAAAAAAGTAGCCACTGCCTCAATCCATATTTTGAGGTCACTGATTCTTAAAACGTTATATTGGTATAGGATAGAACTGGAGAGGATTTTTTTTAAGTTTAGAAGATTTATTGGTTCTTTGAGCATGTACGCAATCCTAATATGCTGTAAGCCCTCTCTTGCAATACCGTCATGTAAACACGCATCATCTGCATACAGGATGTTTTGTCACTATTGCCTGATTTTAAGGTATATTAGTTAAAAATTGACTTTCTCTTTTAGAAAAACTGTGTTTGGAGCAATTATTTAGATTCTTATTGTGCATAAAAAAGTAATTCAAGGTCTCTTTTTGACAATGACTATTGACTAGTCTGACATATTCTTGATTAAAGGATCAACAAACCTTTTCATTTCTAGAACATGAATATTTATTAAAGCAGATTAGAAATTTTATCTATTGTTACCTAGGAACTTTTTCCTAATAACTATTGTTCTGATGGACAATGGCATATTCTGAACTACTTCCTGGTCTCCCAGGAAAATGGCAAGTTAGTTACATTAGAATGATCACTGGGCGGTTTCTTTCCATGTTGCATAATTGAGGGAAAATCTGTTAACATTGCTTGAAATAAAAATCTTTTAAAATATTTTATTAATTGGCTTTAATCTCAATTTTAATAGAGTAATTATTTTGGAATAGTTTTATTCTTTTCCTTGTAATCTAATGGCTTTTGTGCAGATATAATTTTAAGTAGTCAGCCCTAATGCAATCAGTAATTAAAATTATAGCCAACTACAGGTGCTGCTAATTGTTAATCAATTAGATGCAGAACGATTACATATCTAATTGAAATACTGATTGAAGTGTTGATAGTTACCCATACTTTTTTCAAAAGTAAACTACTTCTAACTGTTCTTAAGTTGGAATAAGTTGGGAATATTTTCTCAACTACTCTCTCACTCATTAACTTATCTGAACTTTAGTGGAGAATAGACTTGCTCTTTCTGCATGTATAAATAAAATTGGTACAGTAGATCAGAATTGACCTGACTGGCTGTTGAATGAGTCTGTGATTTTTAATTGGTTTATGTGCATATTAACAGGCCACATTCTGCAGATGGTTGTGTGGGTTCTGAGTATCTGGATTTGGCAAATACTAGGACCATTATATAGGAATGTTATAGTCATTAAACACTGATAGAATCCTTGATTTGCCAGGAGGCTGCAGTGGGTATCACTGTCAACCTGCTGATCAGCCTTTACAGACATTAATTAGTTCACATATTTATAACAATTTAGTGGTAAGAATATCTGCATGACAAAAAAAAAGATTTGATATTTATTCCTTTTGAAAAATAATTGTTGAAATTCGCAATATAGGCTCAAGTTTAGAAAGGAACATTTTACCTATACCATCGTAACTGAAAACTATTTTGCAGTTTCTAAGCATGGAATCACACGAATAGGAGACAGCAATAGTAAGCAAAGACTGGGTAATATTATTTGTGTTTCATGATTGATCAAATCATAATCATTCTAATTTAGAGGCATAAATTCTCTACGAAGCCAGAATTTATTTTCTCAAAAGGGGACTATAGTATGGTGTGTCTATTTATCTTAGTAGATTTAAGTAAACCTGATTTACCAAGAGCATTATATAATCTTTCACTGGAAAGAATCAATCATGTTCTTCAAGGAAAGAGTTTGAGTTGAATATGCCTGTTTCAGCACCATGCCTGGAGTGTAGCAAGCATTTGGGATGTTTATTGAACAAATTAATAAAGTGACTAATGTAAATTATAGTGAGATTTTCTGCAGACATTAATAAAAAAAGATCATTAACAATCCAAAAAGAGTGTTTTTTTATTTTTTAAAACCAGCCATGTAATTTTGAGACTGCTGAGATCTCTTGATTGTGCATCTGACGTGATGCTTCAGATGTAACATCTCTTCTGTCAGCTGCCAAAAGTCACCTATTAAGCCAAGTAAAAACTTCCAAGTATAGACTGGGATAAAGGAAAGAAATTTAGGAGAAAACTACTTCAAAAATTTTCCTAAAAATTTTCTCTTTTTCAGAAAATGGGAATGGATTTTAGATTTGTGTGCTTGAGGAGAGGGAATGAAAATCTGAGCAAATACCATTTTGATTCAAAGCAATAGAAATGAAAAACACAAGGACAGGTATTTTATCATTCTGTTTGGTTGCATGGTATGCTATTTGTGAAAGCATTGTATATGACACTATTTTTAATCCAGCAATTCTATTGTCACCTGAACATTTATGGTTTGGATGTAAAGTGTAACTAGTAAATCATACTATTGGTCTATCATCTGGCATTACCTGAAGATCGAAGAGAGAGAACAATTCCATTTACCTCATCCCTGGTAGGAATATTTGTTAGGATGCCTGAAGTCTTCATTTCCAACAGGAGAAAGCCACAAAACACTTGTGGTTCTGAAAGCAGCCTGCTGTTAACATGAGTTATGTGAATCTGATCTATAATCTTACCTGACATTTGGAACTCAAATATTTTCCTTATTTCTCCAAAACAATTAAAATATTTAGTCTCACTTCATTTTATGAGACATAAATAGCTATATAAGTACTCTGTAATTACTGTACATTGTAACAAATGACCTCATAAATACATTGTAATGTCCCATGTAATTACATGGTACATCGTGTCTTTGAGATGGCTGCTCTGAGATTGAAAGCCTGCTGGTTTCAGAGATTAATTACTTAGGGCCTAATTTGACAGTTTGCTTGAAGATAGGCCGCTGTTAATAGCCACTTCTGTGGTTTCATAAAAAAAAAACTGTTTCTTCACAAGATCTTATTTCCTTATTTACTATAGACCCAGCTGTACATGTTTATCCCTGAATATTGGCCATACCTAAATTTTTCTGTATATAAAAGCAAAAAAGTGAAAAGGGCATGGTTCTGTACAGGAAGAAGTTGATTTGCAATTATATTTCTCCCATCAAACACTATGACTTATTTTATGACAATAATTTTAAAAGTTCTGGTTTATTAATTTAAAAAAATGTTGGGGCCAGGCACAATGGCTCACACCTGTAATCCCAGCACTTTGGGAGGCTGAGGCTAGCGGATCACGAGGTCAGGAGTTCAAGAATAGCCTGGCCAACACGGTGAAACCCCTGTCTCTACTAAAAATACAAAAATTAGCCAGGTGTGGTGGCAGGCTCCTGTAATCCCAGCCACTCAGAAGGTTGAGGCAGGAGAATTGCTTGAACCCAGGAGGCGGACGTTGCAGTGAGCTGAGATGGTGCCACTGCATTCCAGGCTGGGTGACAGAGCAAGACTGCATTTCGAAAAAAAAAAGAAAAAAGATATTGGAGTATAAGATATTGTAAAAATTATGTCATTTTTTTCTCTGATTAAGCGTTATACAGCCTATAAACTAATATTTCATTTTGTAAGAGCCCAAATTCGTTTGTCACAATTATTTTATCATGAGGGCATTATTATAATACCTTGCGATCTCAGTGGTTATTCTTGATAAATGCATCTTATCCTATAGTTGCCGTTTTTATATGGCATGAATCGTATTTAAACCTTCTTTCTCTTTGACTCAGGTTGCTTAAATATCTGGTGAAATAAACTTTTCTCAAGTTGTACTACTCACCTTACTGCTCAAATTCTATCTAGTTTCCATGTTCCAAAACACAAAGGAAATAAGAAATAAGTGAACACTGTATTTTCTGCCTTAAATTATATACTGGCCCTATTTTCTTGTGCCTTTCTAGGGTGTAATTTTACATATAACTCCCCTGATGTATTTCTATTCCAGCTTTCTTAGGTCTAGTTCCTACATCAAATATATTATATTGCTTTTAGTAGTTTTATTTAGTACAAACGAATAGTCTGAGAAAGGACCTAGTGATCTGAAAGAGTTAATAAGCCCTTCTAAACATCCAGCTTACTTCCAAGGAATGATTTAGGCACTGGAGAATTAAGTCTATTGATACTGACAAATTCCAAAATGTATTAATCGTAAACTCACTTTATCATAAACTCTAGGGAACAACCAAATTGCTTTATTGTAATGGAATTTTGTCAAAACGTGAATACCTCCTAGAAATTACATTTCCAGTTTCTAGGACCTAGAAGAAACAAGCCTGGCTACTAGGCTATGCATAGAAAATTATCAGATGTAAAAAATGCTATTTTAAATCCAGGAGCTTAAAAAAAGAAGATGCTAGGTACACACCAAACTCACTGCTTTCTTTTCATGTCTTTTTATTCTTTGAGCTCCACCCCCCCCCCCTTTTTTCCTGTAAGCTGGGCTATACTCTGACATTTGGGGATCATTTTCTTAGTCAGTTTAGGAATATTGGGTTGGTTTTGCTTAGTTAGCCAAGAAAGCCCAGCGGGCAGGAAGGATTAATTGATTTTTCTTTATTTTTCTTCCCATAATAGAAACCATATATGGTTACATATCTGAGAAGCAACTCGAATAGAGCTGTGGTAATCAGTGGAAAAAGTGATGTTTCTATGGGTCATTCATCTGAATATGGGAAAATTTACTATTTAAAAAAAACCACCTCAGCCAGGCATGGTGGCTTACACCTGTAATCCCAGCACTTTGGGAGGCCAAGGCGGGCAGATCACCTGAGGTCAGAAGTTCAAGACCAGCCTGCCCAAAATGGCAAAACCCTGTCTCCACTAAACATACAAAAAATTATCCAGGCATGGGTGGTGGGCATCTGTAATCCCAGCTACTAAAGAGGCTGAGGCAGGAGAATCACTTGAACCCGGGAGGTGGAGCTTGCAGTGAGCCGAGATCGTGCCACTGCACTCCAGCCTGGGTGACAAGAGCGAAACTCCGTCTCAAAACAAAAACAAAAACAAAACAAAACAAAAAAACAAATCTTTGCACAATGCTGAATTGTCTTTGAGAAGCAAAAGAACATTTCTCAGAGATTTGTAATCTAATTGTTGCAATCAGATTAAGTATTTATGAAGGTAATTCAGTCACAACCAGAATCACTCCATTTATTTATTTTTATGTCTGTGAAACCCAATCATGTGAGGCCAAAGTGACTTGATTACTTAATTCTTTGAAAACTTGCTTCAGTTTTTAATGTCATTTTGTGTTTCAAAACAGTTATCCATACTACTCCTACTGCAAATCATGACAATCGTGACATGGGAAAACTAAAATAAGAGCAAAACTTTGTATTTTGTAGTGTTTTCAATTTTCTAAGCCCTTTCTCATCGATCACCTCTCAATAACTAGGGAGAGATAATGTTGTAATACATACAATTGATGCTGCTATATAAATAATTTCTACTGTCACTTAGCAAATTAATGAAAAGCTGAGAGTAGAACAATATGCATCCATGTTCATACAGTCCGTGAATACCTTTTATGTGCAGAACACTATTCTGCCTTTCTCTAAATGATTCAGAAATGCACACTACACTTGATCTTAGCCAAAAAGTCAAGAAGCAATAGGAATGCAGCTAGATAGAACATCTAATAAGATTTTCTAAGCACCACACCTGGTATAAAAATTAAGAAGACCTCCAACATGTTTCTGTACATCTGTGCCTAGGATCTGAGATTCATTTAACATTTGGAGTTAAATTTTTAAATAGATTACTAGCGTTTTTTAAATTTTTATTTTAGTTTCAGGGGTACATGTACAGGTTTGTTATATAGGTAAACTTGTGTCATAGGGGCTTGTTGTACAGATTATTTTGTCACCCAGGTACTAAGCCTAGTACTCAATAGTTAATTTTTCTGTTCCTCTCCCTCCTCGCACCCTATACCTTCAAGTAGGCCCTGGTGTCTTTTGCCTCCCTTTTTGTGTCCAAGGATCACTAGTGTTTATGGTCCAGAATTAGCATGCCAGTTTGGGGCTACAGTTGAATTAACCTCATCACTAGAGAGATGTCTGCAGGCTACTCTCAGCTGTTGTCCACTTTTCTCCTGATAGAGCTCCGAGCTTCATATTTAAATAACTCAAGAAGTAGTTTTTTATATATTACTTTGGAAGTGTGCAAAATACTAGCCTACCAGACTCTCAAATTATTAGTCTCCACTGGGCTTCCTGTGTCTCTGTGAACAGTCATAGATTGGGGACCTCACAATGAAGGTTTGGAAACCTATTTGACCCTAATTTACTGGTTCAAGTCTCCTGTGCTCCTACAATGAAGCGGGTTGGGTAAGTTATTAGTTTCTCCTTTTTTTTCCTTAGAATTGTGAAGTTTGAGTTGTAAGAATTAGATTAAAGCAGAGAAAAGTGGTGGCATGTCAATTTCCCAAAATCAATTTAAATTTAGCTCAGTTTGGCTAAAAAATATAAAAATGGAACATATAAGAAGTGGAGCATAATTCGGATAACATTTCTTACTGGTGTAAATGATTTTTTAAAAAATAACCCTAACTGTGTTGATTGTATACACTTGAAAAAGATCTTGGGGATGAACAGGCATGGAGTTCAGAGCCAGTGGCAGGAGGGCTGTGCCCTAAACCAGAAGAAGTGAGGTGATGAAGGCTGTCATTCAAAAAGACAGTATCCAGAGAAGTGGAGTGGTAGAAAGCAGTTATGCCTGATAGGGGAGTCAAAAAGACTGAAGAGACATTTCTGGTTGTGAATCAGAAGGCTAGTAGGTTTTGCTGGTTCAGAGCGCTAAATCAGGTAACATGCCTAAGTTCAGAAAGGGTGGGTGTATTTTGGAAGGGAAGTCTGCCAGCCTCTGATTAGAGTCTCAGAGAAGACAGTCATCGCTGGAGGACTCAGCCTTGCATGTCTTGGAGGGACCTGGCAGATTAACAAAATGAAGGGGGACTCACCCGGAAACAAGGCAGTGTCCCCACCAGAGAAATACTGTTACAAGAGCTGGGACCCAAATCAAAGTAGATGATTTGATTTGAAGTTGAACAATCTGAGAAATTGTCCCAGGTTGGCTTACGTTTTTACATAACCAGGGAAAGGATTCTCCCAGAGTAGGTAAAGGAGAGCTTAATCTCTAGGTAAGAGTTCCACTGGCACTTTTACGAGAACCAGGGGCCAGCAGGGCAAAGATAAAGATTAGATTGTTTTACAACTATATAAATGTATTGATGAAGAAATGTTTGTATCATTTTCAAGCTGTTAAATAAAATCACAACAGCTTAGCCTTTATTTTTTTTAACAAAGTAACATTTCTTGCTTCAATTTAAGACATCTCCATAAAATTTTATTTAAAATCAAATATTACCCAACGTGTACTTAAACATACTTTATTACTGCACAAATATTTACTTCAAACTTTGCATAGTAATGTCAGAGTTTTCCCTCTGGAAATGTATCATACTGATACATTTTGTCTAACAGTTGTCTACATGAAATTACGGATCTCAACTTTAGTATTCTACCCAAATTTCTAACTTCCCTTAATACAAGAAATTATATATTTATTAATGCTAAACTTAAAAATATGTCAAATCAACAAAAATAGCATATAAGAGTAGGAAAAAATATGGGCCTTTATTATATCATATTGATATTTTATCAAATCCATGCTGGGTTGGTAAAATAAGTTTATAGATTTACATAGTTTATAAAAAGACAAAATTGTTAATGAAAATTGTTTACAAATACACATAATAGAATTTTTTCATAGATATTTATGTTCTAGCTTGAAATTCAGTTAGATGTTTTCAGGATCTATAGAAATATTTACCAAGTATTTAGATAGATACTGTAAGTTAAACATTAAATGTTGCTATTTTGTAATTTTGAGATTATGAGTATAACATTTGTTCTGAATGATGAAATTTGAAAACTGCCCTTTCCAACATTAAACAGAATGAATCCATATGGGTAATCTTTGTTTCTATATCCTCTGAGTGTTTCCATTTGTTGGATATCTGGTAGGTAAGTCCAGTGTTTTGTTTTTTCTTTTGGAAAGTGGATTATTTTTCAGAAAACCTTATCCATGTAAATGCATTATTATCTACCGTGTTGCCTATGTCAGAAACCTGTCATTCTTGATGACTTGTCCTCCTTTGCATTTGACATTCAATAATTCACCAAATCCTGTCAAGTCTACCTCCAAAAATATATATGGGATTTTTTATTTTGCTGTATCCCAAGGTTTCTTCACTACCCATGCCCGGAGGTTCTATTTGGTACAGTAAGAAATGTGAATGGTACCCTGCACAGAGGAAGTTTCTCAATAAGTATTCATAGAATAGAAGTTACAAAAGTGTTGCTAGACAATTTCTCTCTCTCAGTGCTCCTTTCAGTTCACAGTAGAAACAAATGTTCAATTGTTGGGTCAGTGCACAAATAAGTAGGTCCATATTCTTGGCATTGCTACTGTACGTGGTCTTGCTTCCTTCCTTCCTGCTGTTTTCCACTTCTGCTTTTCTTTATTCTTTCTACCTGGCACCCTCACAATCTTTCAGTCTCTCAATCTCTGGATCGCTGGACCTCACTGTCACTCTCTCTTTTTCTCTTTCCCTTTTCCTCCCAGTTTCCCTTAAAGTAGTTCTGATTTACTACATAAATATTATGTGCCAGCACTCTGATGGAACTTTCACACGTTCTCATTGTTTCCTTTCATTTGTACCATAATCCTACGAGGGAGGGACTGCTATTAGCTCATACTGCTGATGAGAAAACTCAGTCTCTGAAGGCTTATGTTGCAAATTCAGGGTCACACACTGACCAGAAAGGTAACTGAGATGGGTGTGAGCAGTGTGAGAGTAGAGGCTGGGGCGCCAGTTAGCTATGGCAATATTCTGGGCAATAGACAAATCAAGGTCAGAATTAGGGTAGTGTCAGAGGAAATATACATAACTGGGCAGAAAAGGGACTCAGTGAAAATAAATTCTTTCAAAGTACTGATGGGCACACTTTAATGAAAACCCTCAGGGCCTCATGCATACTGGGAGCATATTTTACTCTGAAAGCAACTTCCTGTGAGATTCAAGTCACCAGAAGTCCAAAACTGATTTTAAATTAGTTTTCAAGATTCGTAGATTCCTGCTATGTTCCAGCCAAGGCATTCTTACTTGCTGCAAGGACTTTCAGAGTGCCCTTCATAGCTTTCTATGGGAATTCCATCTAGATAAAACCATCTTTTTTAAAAAAGGCTTTTTGCTAGAGTAACTGACTGTGTTTGACGAGGATCAAAATGGGTTTGTCTTCACCTGAAGGTCACTCTGGAGAGAGTAAGGCAGAATGTCAGTGTGCAGTAGGAGATGTGGAGTTAAAAATATGATAAGTTTATGAAATGTGGCTTCTGAGAAAAATTGGAGTGGTGGGCTTATCAACCTCTTTTTTTCCTGTTTCCTCACTTACTACTCTTGTACGTCTACAGTGGAGAAAACAGAAAGCAGTGTTTTAATGGATCCCAGGAAAAGGCTAACACCACATCATTGAATTGGACATGACTATCCCAGGCAGTTTGGAGACTGGCCAGTGACACCCTTTGTTTTAAATCAATTAACTCTTTTCCATCAGGTTTACTTGGCAAATAAATAATTTTTATGGTGATCAAAGAGGGGATGGAGGAATTAGAGGAAGCTAAATTTTATAGTTCTTATTTTTTCCCAAATATGAAGAAAACTGAAATTATTCATTGATTCGGATAGAACACTGCAAGTGATAAGGATTAATTTCTCCCTCTCAAGTAATAAAAGGACCAAAAGTCAAGTCACAGCTACTAGAACTGATTTTTCAAAAGTCAAAGGTCATGTGTTAAGTACTTTTAATAAAAATCATTGCCAGGGTTGCCTATGAAAGCTAGGTTGTTTTACAAAAATGTTCCCGTAACAGCAACAGCTTTTGGTGGCTTGCTGAGGGAATGGGAAATGAAGTCTGAACTACTGGGCAGTGGCAAAATAGGTCTCATATAGAAAATAAGATGCCTTATAACATTAATAAGAAAAGAATGCCTGAATGCTTTCATTTAACTTCCTAAAACACAATATAATTTGGAGCCTCCAGCTGTATCATCTACTAAAGAACCTAAGAAGAAAGAATCTTTGTAATCTGCTGACGCTTGAAGTCAATGAGAAAGCACAAAAGATGCTAATAAACTTAGCTGCTACCTACAGATGAGGATGAATAAAACTGATAATAATCACTTCCAAAGATGAATAATAACCATTCAGGGGGTTTCACTCCTGGTGTGTTGAGTGTATAACTGATTATATTAATTAATTGCTGCTTGGCATCGATATTAAGGTATTGGCTATGTGGGAATAATTTAAGCGATCACTGGAAATCCTCAAATGTGATAAAGAAAAATTGTCAAAAACTATTACTTATGTAATCATTAGTATAATTAAGTTCTCCAGGCTTATCAAGTGATTTACACTTGGTAGACATACTAAGCACAATTGTTCTCTCTTTTTCAGTATGTACATGGAGATTCAGATCACTTATTAGACTCATAACTGGGGATGGTGGCTCACTCCTGTAATCCTAGAACTTTGGGAGGGTGAGCGGGTGGATCCTTTGAGCCTAGGAGTTCAAGACCAATCTGGACAACATGACAAGACCCTGTCTCTACAAAAAATACAGAAAGTATTTAGCCGGACTATGTGGCTCCTGCCTGTAGTCCCACAGGAGGTGGAAGGATCACTTGAACCTGAGAGGTGTAGGCTGCAGTGAGCCCTGATTGCACCACTGCACTCCAGCCTGGATGACACAGAGAGACCCTGACTCAAAAAAAAAAAAAAAAAAAAAAAAAAAAAAGGCTTGCAGAAGGTCACTCAGCAAAGTCACAGCAAAACAATAATTGGAAATTAAAAGGTTCTAATTCTTGTTCTAAGGTTTAATATCTACATTTGTATTTTCCTTTTCAACTTGAATTTATTTTTGACTTTAAAAACAGCTGTAGTCTTCAGAAGGTGGCCCTCCTTGATTTTCCAAGGGCTTTGTATGGGAAAGCTTATTGGATGTATTTTAAAAGAATAATTTAAATTATTTAAATTCTAGTTTTTAAAGAGAATAGGAGAAATTAGATGAGTATAATTGCCAAGTAGAGTCCCTGTGATTACTTATTTTAGTGTGAAATAATGAAAGGAACATTAGACCCCACAGTTGGGAAGTCTTCCATTGATAGTGCCAGGTGACCTTGGGCCTATCCTTCTTTTAACTGTGTCCCAATTTCCTTCTTTGTAAAATCATCAATGGTGATAATATCTGCCATTTCACCACTCACCACTAAGATGAGTAGTGAAACATAAACCATGACTATTCTTTTAATTCTGGTTTTCTTTCCTAGTTTCTAAAACACTGGGGAGTAAAGAATATGTCCACACATGTGCACCTACATGTATGAATGGTGGGGAAGAAGGGAATAGATGGGCTTGTGTGTATTTAAGACTATGAGTTCTTTGCAGCCAGGGACTCTACACTATTATTTTATGCATTATTTTATCTCCTAAATAACTTAGCCAAATGCCTTAAATGAACACATTAATCCAGCCTTCTCTCTCTTTTGCATGGTCTGAAAAATTTTGTAATGTTTTTCCCAATCTACCTTTCCTTTTCCTTATCCTATATATCCTTTGCTTTAGCCACTAAGAGACTACATGAGCTTTCCCTGAAGATGCTTGACGTTGTCCTTACATCTTGAGCTTGTTCTTGATATTTCCTGTTTTAAATACCATTCCCAACCCCTCCGTGAACTCCAAATCACACTTGAAGGATGAGTTCCTTGTAAAGTCCTTTTGGTCATATGACATAGAATTAATCACTCTTGGACATTCTACTATAAACCTTAGCATGTTGTTTTTTCATTATTAGTTCATATGTCTCTTTCCTCAGCCAGAATGGGTAAATCATGACTTATTTACATGTTTACCACATCAAGAATGTAGTTGATACATGTTGAATGAGTAACAACTAAATGAATTAGACTCTCAGCCTCTTGAACTTCTCATAGGAGGCAATATTAAGCAGAAAAGAATGTCCTCCTTTTGACTCATGTTATCTCAGTTAAAATTCTGCCTATTGTTGGATACATGTCTATTTTATTTAACCATTCTTGTCCCAGTTTACCTGATTTTACAAAGGTCATAGCAATAGACCTTAACTCACAGAGTCATAATGAGCATAAAAATATAAATAATGCAGAGTGCTTAGACCATTGCCAGGTCTAAAGTAAGTGCAAAAAATATGTTAACAAATAGTAGTTAAGAGTGGTGCTTAATTTATCACACTTAAAGAATAGTGGAAACAAAGTAAAGGATCTCAGTGCGATAGTATTTTGAATATATTCTACCAACTTAATCAGATCAATTGTATGTAACTAGATTCCTCTGAAATTAGTAAAAGATTTTTATTATATAAGTACAGTTGATCCTCATTATTTACAGATTCTGTAGTTGCAAAGTTGCCTGCCTGCTTGCTAAAATTTATTTGCAACTCAAATCAATACCCTTGGTGCTTTGTGGTTATGCTTAGAGCAGGGTAAAATTTGAGTTGCCAAATGTCCACGTTCCCAGCTGAGGTTGAAGAAAGAGATGCTCTGTCTTCTTGTTTTAGCCCTCATACTGTAAACAAGCACCCTTTTTGAGGTCCATTTGGTGCCATGTTTTTTGTATTTCTGTGCTTTTGGTTGGTGATTTTTCTGTTTAAAATGATCCCAGAGTGGAGTGCTGAAGCACTGTCCAGTGTTCCTAAGAGCAAGAAGGCTGCGATCTGCCTTATTTCTCGCATTAAAGTTCAAAGTTAAAGAGTTGACAATACTGTCATATTAAATAAGGTATCATTAAATAGAAACACACATAAAACAAGGTTGGGTACCCATCAGTTGACAAAAATATTGTAACCAGAGGCTTGAAGGAACCTAAACCTATATTTCCCCTAGGAGCAATATTTCAGTATTCTCAAATTCAGTGCTGGGGTGAGGGCAGCTATACAGAAAATAACAAAGTAAGTTACTCAGCAAGTAAATGCAAATTTAGATTATATTTTTTTTCTTCTCTCAGAGAAACTTATCTGCAGAGCACCAGCTAATTTGTGGTAGATCTGGAAGAAGGAGGTTGGATTTCTATCTCCCTGGAGAGTCTAGCTCTGCCTCTGCTCCATGACTGAAGCAGGGACAGGGAGGTCCTGGACAAATCCATTATTTGACGTTGGTTCTGGATTCATTCTTTCTTTCTTTCTTTCTTTCTTTCTTTTTTTTTCTTTTCTTTCTTTTCACTCTTTCTTTTCTTTTTCTTTTTCTTCCTTTCCTTTCCTGTCCTTTCCTCTCCTTTCCTTCTTTCTTTCTTTCTTTCTCTCTTTCTTTTTCCGAGATGGAGTTTTGCTCTTGTTGCCCAGGCTGGAGTGCAATGGTGTGATCTCGGCTCACTGCAACCTCCACCTTCCGGGTTCAAGCGATTCTCCTGTCTCAGCCTCCCAAGTAGGTGGGATTACAGGCATGCGCTACCACGCCTGGCTAATTTTGTATTTTTAGTAGAGATGGGGTTTCTCCATGCTGGTCAGGCTGGTCTCGAACTCCTGACCACAGGTGATCCACCTGCCTCGGCCTCCCAAAGTGCTGGGATTACAGGTGTGAGCCACTGCACCCGGCTGTGTCTGGATTCTTTCTAACAGCCTGTAATTTGTTTCTACCACCTCAAAAAAAAAAAACAAACAAAAAACCTCTGTGTGCTTATTTTAAAACTTAATTTAAATATTTTCAGAGTATTACATGCACATTATTTTTTAAGTTAAATAATACTAACAAGCCTATAACAAAAACAAACAGGCTCTTTCTTTCCCCTCCCCAAACCCTGCCTCCATTCCCTAAAGACTGCCTTTTTTTTTCTGACATTTACCTTTATGTTTCTCAGTAATCTACTTATTTAGATGTCTCTTAGTTTACCAGTTTTAATTCATCATTTGTAGATATCATCTATTGGTTTATTTTTATGTCAGGATTTGGTGCTGACACACTTCCATCCTCATTTTCTTCTCCAATCTTTTCTCTTTTTTCTACTGCTGCTTCTCCTCCTCTTCCTTATTTTGTTGAGGTGTAATTAAAATAAATGAAATTATAAATCTTAAGTGTTCAGTCTCATGAATATACTGGTATTCTAGGGCTGCCATAATAAATACTGCAGACTGGGTGGCTTAAAAAACAGGCATTTATTTTCTCACAGTTAGTGAAGCTAGAAGTCCAAGATCAATGTGTTGGCAGATTTGGTTTCTTCTGAGGCCTCGCTCACTTGGCTTATAGATGGCTACCTTCTTCTTGTGTCTTCACGTGGTTTTTCTCTGTGCATATCTGTGTCCTTATTTTCTTTTAGAGACACCAATCATGTCATATTTAAGACCTACCCTCGTGAACTAATTTAAACTTCATTACCTCCTTCAAGGACTTATCTCCAAATTCAGTCAGATTCTTCTAAGATACAGGAGTAATAACTTCAACATATGACTCTTGGTGGTCAAAATTCAGCCCATAAATATGTATTTTGACAATTGTATCCATCTGAGTAACAAACATGACATCAATATGCAGATTTCCATCACCCCAAAAAGTCTACTGGTACCCATTTCCAATCAAAACCCAGAACAACTATTTAGACTATTCTGACTTCGAATACTGTAGATTAGTTTTGCCTATTCTTTAACTTCACATAAATGGAATTAAACAGTATGTACTCTTTCGAGTCTGGTTTTTCATCATATTATATCTTTTATCACATTACAATTTTCTTCATTGTCTTCAACGCTGTTTGTTGTGTTTTAAATATTTTTTTTTCAGACTGCACTCTTTTCCTGGAACACATCTTTCATTAGCTTCCTGTTAAGGAAAACACAAATAGATATCTTAGAAACCATGTATATCTGAAATATCCCTATACTGTCCTTAGCATATATTCTTATACTTGTGCTATATTATCCTTATGCTTGCTTATTTGACTGGACATTAAATTCTAGACTTAGAATCCTAGATTAGAATTGTATGATTCATGTTCTGTTGTTTTCTAATATCGAGTGTTGTTGAGAAATCTGATGCCATTCTTACTGTTGATCATGTTTTATGTGACCTGCTTTTTTCCCCTTCATTCTGGAAACTTGTGGATCCCCTCCCCACTCTCCATGAGGCTCTAGTATTTTACAGCAATGTGCCTTGAAATGGATCTGTTTTGCATTTATTTTGTTTAATATTCCACAATCTTTTTCAGACTAGAGTCTCAAGTATTCCAGTTTTGTAAAGTTTTATTGGGAAAGGGGTCATTTTATCATTTTTGCTAATTTTCTACCTTTTATTTTTCCTGCTTTTTTATTCTCTCCTCAGGGGTGTTGGAAATTGAGAACCAAATCTCTAATTTGTTACCTTTTCTCTCCCATTTCATGTGATAATTTATTCCCACTGAATTTTGAGAGATTTCTTTTAATTCATCTTCCAACTTATTTATTGAATATTTAATTTGTGCAATCAAATTATATTTGTAATAAGTTTCTAAAAATCTTTTAATATTCTTGTGTTTTTATCCTGTTGATGGATGGATTATCATTTCTTAGATTACCAGGGTATTAATGACGTCTTTTTGGATTTCATTCTTTGCATTACTGATGTTTCCTTCATGTGCTGTTATCTTCTTATGTATTACTTTTTCCACTTCCTTTATGCTAAGGGCCTTCTTTGATGTCTGGTAATCTTAAATTGTCAGTTTACATTAAAATGAAGTATGAAAAAGCTGATTTTAAACTACAAATTTTAGCACTTGAGTTGGACTTATTAAGTAGTGAAATGGGAGAATTACTTGACCCCCCTTGCAGGATATGTGACACCGGTGTGGCCTGTCTGTTTGGCTGCTGCACCCTCAAACCCCTTATGGGACAGGGAGCATGCAGACAGGCAGGAGCTAGGGTGAGCACTTTTGGTCTCTGAGCCCACAGTAGCATCTAGGGGTTGCTGTCTGTGACTCCCAAATCCCCAGTGAGTGTGCTACAGTGCTCTTTCAGCTCTGCCATCTGCAGACAGCTTAAGTGTTAACCAGCTCAGTGCCTTCTTGGTACCTGGGTTCTTGTCCAGCATCCAGGAAGAATCAGGTCACATGAACAAATTGAAGGATGGTAAATGTGGGGGATTTTATTGCCAGATGGAGGTGGCTCTCAGCAGGATGGATGGGAAGCTAGAAAGGGGGTGGAGTGGGAAGATGATCTTCCCCTGGAGTTTGGTGGTCCCATGGCTGATCTCCTACCCGACTATCCCCAGCTGAACTCCTCTCGATGTTCAGATGCTCCTTCTCTTCTCTTCTTTTCTGCCACACTGCTCTTCTGTTCCTCTCCTCTTCTGCTAGTCTGCTCATTTGCTTGTGGAGCCTGGGGTTTGGGGTTAATATGGGTACAGGATAGGGGGACATGGCAGGCCAAAAGGCAACATTTGGGTGTGAAAACAGGAATGACTGTTCTCATTTAGGGCTGTGGGTTTCCAGGCTTGAGGGTGGGGCCTTTTGCCAGAGAACCACCTTCTTTTACCCAGTATTTCCCTGTCTCCTGTCCATATCAGTAGGAGCCTCATTGTTGGGGAATTGATCAGGGATATGACTGCTTTTTTTTTCTCTAGGGCAAAGATAATAATTTTCTCTAGAGAAGGATTATATGATATTCTACCCAAGAAGCATATACCTGGTTGCCATTGCTCTAGGTATCATATGAAGGAAGAAGACATGGGTAGCTCATATCTTTGATTTACTTACTCTTGCCTACATCCCTGTTCTCTCCTGTGTTTAATATCTCTGAAACTTTGGCCTCTGAGTTGAATATCCCCAGAGGATAAAGCTACCAACACCTCCAAGGTCAGGGAGGGTTAGTAGCCTGGTTTTACTGGGTATAGGTAGAAACCTGATCTGAATGACTTTCAGTCCTTCCCCTCCTTCAGGACTATGCTTGGAAGTCCTACCTTCCAAGTTATATAAGCAGGAACAATGTCTAGGAATCCCTGACTTTTGATGTGCTTTTCATTGCCTTGCTTTTTTATTATTGTCTCTTAAAAACGTATTTAGTTTTCCGGCTCTCTTCTTTGGCTCAGTCAACCTATGATACGGTTTGACTGTGTCCCCACCTAAATCTCATCTTGAATTGTAGCTCCCATAATTCCTACCTGTCATGGGAGGGACCCGTTGGGAGGTAATTGAATCATGGGGGCAGGTCTTTCCTGTGCTGTTCTCATGATAGTAAATAAGTCTCACGAGATCTGATAGTTTTATAAAGGGGAGTTCCCCTACACACGTTCCCTTGCCTGCTGCCATGTAAGACATGTCTTTGCTTCTTTGCACTCTGCCATGATTGTGAGGTTTCTCAGCTATGTGGAACTATGAGTCCATTAAACCTCTTTTTCTTTATAAATTACCCAGTCTCAAGTATGTCTTTAATTAGCAGTGTGAGAACAGACTAATCCACTATAGCTCCCTCCGATTTGCACCTTCCAAATATTAGTTGACATCTCTCATGCAATATAACCTTATTCTCTATTGTTTTGTGGCTTTATACCATTTAGAATATTTTACTGTCATTTTAGCAGTGTATGCAAAGGAGAGGTGATAATGCATTCAATCAATCAAAGGAAATGTGTATTTTTGTTAAAACCAGACAAATAAGAATGCTGTCAGATTATAAGAACGAATTTAATTTGTCTCTAAGTGGCAATCGCTAACACTTCTTGCTTCTCTGCTTTCTTCACACTTACGTTTGGGTTACTTCTTTGACCCTGTCCCATTGTCCTTTCTTTCTTCAATGTTTTAATTTACACCTATTATTTTACAGAGTATCAAAGTTAGCTGGCTGCCTCCTCCATCAGGAACACAAAATGGATTTATTACCGGCTATAAAATTCGACACAGAAAGACGACCCGCAGGGGTGAGATGGAAACACTGGAGCCAAACAACCTCTGGTACCTATTCACAGGTCAGTGTTCACATGGTGTAGTCTTGCAAGGTTTTGATGAATTAAATGCTTTAGGAATAAAATATAGTCTCACTCCAAAGGAACATTGATTTTCTTCCTGGCATCCAGGCAGGTGACATCTATTGGCTGGAACAAGAACAACCTTTATATTTTTAACTTTACATTCTCTATAATGTTTTCACTATATATTTCTCTCTGGATCATCGTCTTAATACATGTATCATAAAATTTTTATTCATACTAGTTTCTCAGCATTGCTGATTCAACAAAAGCATCTGTTATCTAAAAACTTAACATTTTAACCAGTAACTTTTAAAAGTCATCTAATGAAATTGTTCCAATTTCAATCACTTTGATTCCCCTCTACCAATATTCAGGGGTGAGAATGGGTTGAAAACTGAAGAAAAGGGTAGATTGTAAAACAAAGAGAGAGATTATTCTACCTTCTGCCAATATAAAGTAAATTCACTTATGCAGCAATATTGATAGAATTCAGAGTAGATCAACCTTCTCTATGAAAACTGGACCCAGTTTGCATGTAAAGAATATATTTTTTTAAATTTTATAAAATAATCATGTATTTAATAACTACAACCTTTAATTCACAACAGCTCAGGTTCCTAGAAAACAGAATGAGGCGAGGCTTTCAACGTAATACCTTTAAAGTTATAAGTTCAGGAAAACAAGAAGGAGAGAACAAGGAAAGCAATCCAGGGAAGAAGAGAAAACAGATAATGGTGGTACATTATCCATCTGTGGTGGCCACAACTTCGGGGCAAACACAGCACTTGCTAGGTCTCCTGGGTGTCTCTTGAGAAGCCACATGAACTATCTCACAGTCCATGGATAGAAGGTGTGAGCAGTTGCTCTCTTGTTTCTCACTGGTTGAGTTCACCAACAGCTTACTGATTACTCTGCACCTCCCAGGCAGTCCCCAGTGAAGCCAGAGCTTCTGATGACTCTGCAGACACATAGGTGTCTTTTTGTCAATCAACATTTTATGTGATGGTGGCTTGGCCTAGGGTATGATCAGAGCTCAGGGCTTTTCAAACCTAGGAATATCTTGAGCTACTGCCAGAAACTTGGCAAGCAAAGCATATAGAATGGCTCATGACACAGCTGGGTAGATGAAGTTGAGCGACTCTGAAGTGGCACATAAACTGGGTCAGGACAACATACAAACCATAAAGCACATGACTTACAATTTATAGATGAGGTAAACTACCATTGCAAGTGAGAAAAAAGAAAGTAATCCCTTATGTATTCCTTTTCTCTACGCCAGATACTCAGCGAATTTCCATTTGAAATCATGACTCACACACATTATAAGCTTCTTGTTCAGCCTACACTCAGAGACTTGAAAGTAACTTGTTTATTTATTTTTTCTTCTTTTCTCTCAGGTTGTCTTTTATGCCTATATAATTTTAGCATAATGGCCAGAGCACTTCCAAAGTAGATTGCCAAAAATCATGTTTTAAATATGGACAAAATCTCTGAGGCAGGGAATGGTTGAATCTAACGGAAAGTTTAACATTTACCATATCATTTTAAAAGATTTTGAAAAGCCAATATCCTATGTTTTTCTTTTTCCCCTGACAAAATAATGGGGAAGATGGTAAAAATAATCAAAGTGAGGAACATGTATTCATTAGGATATTTGGTACAATATGACTTTTACTTTGAGAGAAATCACCAAAATTGAAAAATCTTGCTAAAAATATTTTAGTATGGATTCTAAGATTTAATATTAGAGTAGAGGAGACACTAAGGATAATTTAATCCAAGCTCTTCCAGACATAGAGATTTGAAGCCTCAAAACTTTATCATCATTGCTTTTGCTTCTCAAATGATAAACATTGAGAATATAAAATTAATTTCTTACTATAAAATAATTAACTAAAGGATTAATATTCCAATAAAAAAGCTAATGATTGGATGTTCAATTCACAGAACTATACGCAGCCAATAAAGATGATAAAATGTTCAATCTCATTAGCAAATAGAGAAATGCAAATTAAAATAAAAATGAGTTAGCATTTTCCTTTGATTAAAGTAATAAAGATAAAAATAAATGAGGGCATCCCATTCTGGAAAGCATATGAGAAATGTAAACTCTCATATACTGCTTGTGGGACAGAAAATGTCCATAACCCTTCTGGAAAGCAATGTGTGTGTATGTATATATATATATATATATATATATATATATATATATATATATATATATATATGTATTTTATACGAGGTATATACATGTGTATGTGGATGTATGTCTGTACATATAATTTTCTTTTCATAAAGATATGACCCAGGTTTCCAAATTCTACGAGTTTATCCTAGGAAGCAATCATATTTTTGCAAAGTTTTTAGCTAGATGCATATTGTCATATTATTTTAATAGCTAATAGTGTTTTTGAAAACCTAAATATCCAACTATAGGAAGTTACCTAGAAAACTCAGACACAGTTGTATCTTGGAATACTATATGTCTAATTTAAATGAAATAGTGTAAAAATGTTAAATCATATGTAAATTATGATTATTTAAAACATAGTAAGCAAATACCCCAGTTTTAAGTCAGTATTAGTACAAGAGCTCGTATTTATTAAAAAAAGCATTCACATAAAAATATTTAGAATAATATATATCCCAAATTGTTGACCGTGAATATTGCTTACTTTGTAACAACAGTATGATATGTATTTTTAATTGCATATGCAAAATGAAAAACAATAAGTTAAAAATATTACAATTTTTGCTTTCAAAAATTGAAGATTTCTTCCCACTAATGCTAACTCAATATCATCTGAATGGCTTAGAAAGCAGTGGTCCAGAAAACAAATGAATAGTAGCCTCATGGCCAGTAGAATTTGCTAGCGTTAATTGCTTAGTCCTTATGAGTTATTTTGGCAAATGGAAGTTAACACATTCAGTTAGTATTTTCAAACCAAGATTCTGACTCCCTAAATAACACATTTAGGACTTTCCCTCTGTTTAAGGTAAAATCATTGAAAAAACGCAGTACGGCAACTATTAGCTTTCTCACCAGCAGAGACCCAAAACAAAATACCACGAATTTCGTAACTTGAAAGAATAGACATTTATTCTCATAGTTCAGGAGGCCAGAAGTCTGACATTAAGGTGTTGGTAGGTTCAGCTCCCTCTGTAGGCTCTGAGAAAGAACCCATCCCACAAGTCTCTCCTAACTGCTGGGGTTACCGGCAGTCCCTGGTCTTCCTTGGCTTGTAGATGCATTGCTCTAATCTCTGCCTCCATCTTTTTATACTTTCCTCTCTGTGTTCTCTCCTCTTCCTTTTTTATTTGTTTTGTTTTTTTGAGACAGGGTTTTGCTCTCTTACCCAGGCTGGAGTACCGTGGCATGATCATAGTTTACTGCAGACTTGACCTTCGGGACTCAAGTGATCCTCCTGCCTCGGCCTACGGAGCAGCTGGGACTATAGGTGTGTTTCACCACACCCAGCTAATTTTTTAAATTTTTCGTAGAGACAAGGTCTTGCTTTGTTGCCCAGGCTGGTCTCAAACTCTTGGCCTCAAGTCATTCTCCCTCCACAGCCTCCCAAAGTGCTAGGATTATAGGCATAAGACACTGTGCCTGGCCTCTCTCCTCTTCCAATTAGGACATTAGAGATAGAGCCCACTTGAAATCCAGGATGACTTCATCTTGAGATCATCAACTAATTATAACTGTAAAGACCCTATTTCCAAATAAGGTCACATGCTGATCCTTCAGACATGCATGAATTCTAGGGGGATACCATTCAAACTACTATAGACTCCTTTTTAAATTTTTCCTCTCAAGGACAATCATTTTGAATTGTATCTTCTAATAAACTTTACTTACTCAAAAATAAATAATTCAGTTCTACATTTTCATTCATCTAAAATATGTGTGACAGTTAGAACTTCTAATCAGCATGAGGTAACCCATCACCACTCTGGTTTATTATCATTCCAGCCAAAAGCAAAGTGAGATGAATTAATTAGTTATTAGGAACAGCTCACAAATGCCCATTTGCATCTTCATAGAGCTGTAAGAATTTGGATCCAAAATATGTAGGCTTTATTCATATTGTTACATCTTGATTTCATGAGTTATAATAAAGCATTTAGGAATGCAAACAAAATATGAGCAGTTATATGTGCGACTATGCCTGAGATTTACTGCAAACATATATGTGCGTGTATATATATATATATATATATACATGTATATATACGTGTGTGTATATATATATATATATACTCTTTCTAAATTTGAACTAAAGCAATAAAAAGAGTTAATGAACAGCATCATATACTTAAAATTTTTTTGAGTAGCTTTGGAAAATCGTTCCCTCCTCTCCCCTGCTCTGTGACTGGGCTACAGAAACACCTGTTGCATTGCTAGATATTATGGGAATATATGTCTTCAATGCTACAAAACATTAAGGAACCAGGGAGCGCTACATACTTGTAGATTGGCTTTGGTTTAGACATGTCCCCAGGATATATATAGCACTTACACACTTTGTTGTAAGCAGAAGTAATTGATTTTCCATATAAATCTACAGCACTGTAAAATGTAAAGGATTTGATCCTATGATTTTAATGCCTATAAGATACATGGATTTATTGATTTGGCTGTTTAAAAAATTGGAAATTTCAGAATGCTCCATTTGTATGTTATAAATATTCAGGTGTAGATACTCAAATTTTTTTTTACAATCTTCTATTTGTTAGACAGGTGTTTTTTGTGTGTATGTGTTTTTTTAATGAGAATAATGAGACATCTGCAATAACAAAGTAATTCAGAGTTATAACAAGAATTGAAATCACTGCTATCAGGTTTATTGTGAGAACCCACGTCAACTAAATTTTAAAACGTTTTTAATTTTTGACTGCTCTTCAGGGAAGGTTGTTTGAATTGAATTTAAGAGTTTTCTTGTGTTTCATGGTCAATATATAATAAACATAATAATAAAGATGCATTGATAGTTTATGGACTGAAAAATTGAAATAATAGCATAGCAATTTTATAACAGGGCTAACATTGGGAAATTGTGTTGTTTGAATAATATGCCATCTCTTACTAGAAGTTCTAAAAATTAGAAATAGAACATAAGAATTACAAAGCTTGAGGACACTTAGCATTCAGGATAGAAACCTGCAGAGATAATCAACTTTCAACAACTGAATTTTTTACAGCTATGAAAAGCATTGCTAGTTACACCGTACTACCCTTACAATAAAGGTATACTTAGAAGCATCTAGGACACACACACACACACACACACACACATTGAGATTGAACTTTATGATCCTGACAAACATAGCAGGAAACACAGAATTCGTCTCATCCAAACTGGTTGGGTTTTATTTTATTTCATTTATTTATTTATTTTATTTATTTATTTTTTTTGAGATGGAGTTTCACTCTTATTGCCCAGACTGGAGTGCAATGGTGCAATCTCGGCTCACTGCAACCTCTGCCTCCCGGGTTCAAGTGATTCTCCTGCCTCAGCCTCACCAGTAGCTGGGATTACAGGCATGCACCACCACACCTGGCTAATTTTTTGTATTTTTAGTAGAGACGAGGTTTCGCCATTTTGGCCAGGCTGGTCTCGAACTCCTGACCTCAGGTGATCCGCTCTCCTTGGCCTCCCAAAGTGCTGAGATTACAGGCGTGAGCCACCGCACCCGGCCATACTGCTTATTTTACAGAAGAAATAACTGAGGTCTGGAGGGTGGTATGGCTAAGGTCCTCCACTAGTTAAGGAGATGATCCCAGGTGAATTGTGTGTTGTCTAACTCCTCATTATGTGCTCCTTTCACTATGCGTGTTGTCATCTTTAGTTCACTTTATTGTGAGTGATTAAGGCTGTTATATAACTTTGTAAAAGATAATTAACATTAAAAACAATGTTTAACATTTACAACAATAATACCCATATTATTACTTACTGAACTCAAATCATTCACTATGCTAAAAGCTATATGTGTGTTTTCCATTTTAATCTTTATGACAGTTTTTATTTATGTATCCCCATTTTATGGATGAGGGCATGGAAGTAAACAAAGAGGCCTGGTTTTTCATGGTCAACCAGCTAATAAGTAATGGAATGAAAATTCAAACCTAATACTGCCTGAATAGAAAACCTATATTCTTACCTCTTAAACTGTAAATAATGTGTTTCTCACCGTAGGCAATGCATTCGTGATTGTATCAGTATTAAAAGGGATAGGAGAAAAACACAAGGATGGAAAAAGATGTCTATTGGACAATAAAACTTAAAGATTACCATACAGTGGGTAGGGCGCGGTGGCTCATGCCTGTAATCCCAGCACTTTGGGAGGCCGAGGCGGGCGGATCACGAGGTCAAGAGATCGAGACCATCCTGTCTAACACGGTGAAACCCTGTCTCTGCTAAAAATACAAAAAAAAAAAAAAAAAAAAAAAAGAAAAAGAAAATTAGCCTGGTGTGGTGGTGGCGGGCGTCTGTAGTCCCGGCTACTCAGGAGGCTGAGGCAGGAGAATGGCATGAATCCGGGAGGTGGGGCTTGCAGTGAGCCGAGATTGCGCCACTGCCCTCCAGCCTGGGCGACAGAGCCAGACTCTGTCTCAAAAAAAAAAAAAAAAAAAAAAAGAAAAAGAAAAAGATAAAGATTACCATACAGCTAGAGGAGCTGACTAACTCTAGAACATATTAAATAAAAGCTTTCCTGGCCAAATTATTTAAATTTTTAAAAATATTCCTATTATCCCAGTTCAGGAACTAGATCTAAGATAACAGCTTTTCAAAATATACATACAAAAAAAAAAGCTTTTAATTGGCCGGACGTGGTAACTTAAGCCTGAATCCCAGCATTTTGGGAGACCGAGGAGGGCAGATCAGGAGGTCAGGAGATCGAGAAACCCCGTCTTTACTAAAAATACAAAAAATTAGCCGGGCGTCGTGGCAGGCGCCTGTAATCCCAGCTACTCGGGAGGCTGAGGCGGGAGAATGGCTTGAACCGGGGAGGCAGAGCTTGCAGTGAGCCGAGATTGTGCCACTGCAGTCCAGCCTGGGCGACAGAGCAAGACACTGTCTCAAAAAAAAAAAAAAAAAGCTTTTAATTACAGACTGCCTTCTCTTTACTCCACCTCCAATGAAAGAGAGAGAGGAAGGGAAAGGGAGGGGAGAGGAGGGAAGGGAAAGGGAGGGGAGGGGAGGGAAGGGAAAGGGAGGGGAGGGAAGGGAGGAGGGAGTGGGGAGAGGAAGGGAGGAGGGAGGGAGGAGGGAGGAAGGAAGGGAGGAAGAAAGGAAGGGAAGAAGGAGGAAAGGGAAGAAGGGAGGGAAGGAAAGGGTGGAAAGGAAGGAAGGAAAAAGGAAGGAAGGGAGGGAAGGAAAGAAAGCAACATTGAAAGATCTTCTGATATCAGCTATCAGAGTTGGGGCCCCCAAAAATTGCTTGGTGGTGGTTATTGTTGGTATAACTCTGGAAGATAACTCTTTTCTCTAATAGGGTATATTTATTTATTTATTATTGTTATTATTATTATTTTGAAGACAGAGTCTCGCTCTGTGGCCCAGGGTTGAGTGCAGCGGCACGATCTCGTCTCACTGCAACCTCCGCGTCTCGGGTACAAGTGATTCTCCCACCTCAGCCTCCTGAATAGCTGGGATTACAGACGTGCGTCACCACGTCAGGCTAATTTTTGTATTTTTAGTAGAAACGGAGTTTCACCATGTTGACCAAGCTGGTCTGGAACTCCCGACCTCAAGTGATTCGCCTGCCTCGGCCTCCCAAAGTGCTGGGATTACAGGCTTGAGCCACCGCTCCCGGCCGCATTTCTAAGCAAGAGAACAAATTAACTCTTCTTGAGACTGAATTTTGGATATTACTGATTTCTTAGCTTGATCCACTGTCAAAAATAATAGAATCATCAATTTTAACCTCCCTACCTGCCTATTATTCAAGTCTGATGTAGTGATCATAGATAGATATTTCTTCCATGCCTGCATAGTGCTTTAAATTTGTTGCTAATGTCTCTCTTGGGTTCTAGCATAGGGCATGTGGGCCTTTGAAGGTGCCCAGCAAGAGACAGAACAGAGTCAAGATTCTTTACCCAAGGATAGTCCAAGCTTTAACTAAAACACCATAATACGTTAGCTTAATTTCTCTGAGCCTTATTCATGTCTCTAAAATGGGACCAATCATGTATTCTGCGCCAAAATCGCAGGGTATTTGAAAAATCAAGAAAGTAACCTGGAAATCACTGTGCCAATGTCAGTTATCACTACATCTATGAAACGCTTGATTTTATAAATCACTTTTACAGGCAATTTTTCATTTGACCCTCACAAGAAACACTATAAAGTGGAAGCATGTATTATTACTTAATCACGTTAGATAGGAAATAGCTATTAAAAGAGCCTCCAGTACATCTAAAATTTTCCCAAACAAATCACAGCATAGAAGCAGGGCCACCTGAAACCTGGAATTCTAAAGGTAATGTCCAGACTGCTTCTCTGAAAAGTCAAAATTTCTGCTTCTGCTTTATATCATGCACTTACTTGGGTATAAAAAAAGGATCGCAAGTTAAATTTTCTTGATAAAGGTTTGATAAAAAAGTTACCGAATTTAGAATCCAAAGTCTTGGATAAACATGTTTTATAGGAGAAACTTAATTTGTTTTTATCCCACTAGGATAAAACTAGTGCAGTCTATCTGTAAGTGATACTATGGTAAATCAGATTCAGTGCAACCTAAGGAAGAACTTTTCTAAAAAGCAAAACTTGAAGGTGAGTTATCTCCGTTGCTGAATTTCTCATCCAACAAAAGTATTCCTGCTTTATTTACAGGGACACTTTGTTAGATATTCAGCATTATATGAGCCATTTGACTAGATATTACTGAAGATTTTCTTTAATAATGGGATTCTATACATATCTAAATTTTTTTTATACTTAACCTAGCTTTTTTAGGTGTTTGTAGTTAGATTCCACAGCCCAGCAAAGTTGAAGGTGTTTTAAGGATAAAATATAATACTTCAAAGACATTTGGCAGGATTTTCAGAGTGACCTGAGGCACTAATCTCTACAGGATGCTAAAACTTCCCTGCAGATGTAATAGAAAGGAAGATATGAAGAGCTCCCCTACTGTATATGGTTGGAAGGGATACTCTGATAAATAGTATAGCCTGGCCAGGTGAGATCCCTTTGGGGAAATACTTACAATACACTAGATGGCCTCTAAACTGCTTTCTTTTTATTATTATTATAACTTAAGTTCTGGAATACATGTGCAGGAAGTATAGATTTGTTGCATAGGTATACACATGCCGTGGTGGTTTGCTGCACCCATTAACCCGTCATCTACATTAGGTATTTCTCCTAAAGCTATCCCTCCCCTAGCCCCCCACTCCCTGACAGGACCTGGTGTATGATGTTCCCCTCTCTGTGTCAATGTGTTCTCATTGTTCAACTCCCACTTATGAGTGAGAACATGTGGTGTTTGGTTTTCTCTTCTTGTGTTAGTTCGCTGAAAATGATGGTTTCCAGCTTCATCCATATCCCTGCAAAGGACATGAACCCATCCTTTTTACGGCTGCATAGTATTCCATGGTGTATATATGCCACATTTTCTTTATGCAGTCTATCATTGATGGGCATTTGCATTGGTTCCAAGTCTTGGCTATTGTGAATAGTGCTGCAATAAACATACATGTGCATGTGTCTTTATAGTAGAATGATTTATAATCCTTTGGGTATATACCCAGTAATGGGATCGCTGGGTCAATTGGTATTTCTGATTCTAGATCCTTGAGGAATCGCCACACTGTCTTCCACAATGGTTGAACTAATTTACACTCCCACCAACAGTGTAAAAGCATTCCTATTTCTCCACATCCTCTCCAGCATCTGTTGTTTCCTGACTTTTTAATGATCACCATTCTAACTGACATGAGATGGTATCTCATTGTGGTTTTGATTAGCATTTCTCTAATGACCAGTGATGAGCTTTTTTTTTCATATATTTTTTGGCCCCAGGAATGTCTTCTTTTGTAGTAGTATTGTCTGTTCATATCCATTGCCCACTTTTTGATGGGATTGTTTGTTTTTTTCTTGTAAATTTGTTTAAGTTCCTTGTAGATTCTGGATATTAGCCCTTTGTCAGATGGATAGATTAAAAAAATTTTTCTCCCATTCTGTAGGTTACCTGTTCACTCTGATAATACTTTCTTTTGCTGTGCAGAAGCTCTTTAGTTTAATTAGCTCCCATTTGTCAATTTTGGCTTTTGTTGCCATTGCTTTTGGTGTTTTAGTCATGAAGTCTTTGGCCATGCCTATGTCCTAGGTTTTCTTCTAGGGTTTTTATGGTTTTAGGTCTTACATTTAAGTCTTTAATCCATCTTGAGTTAATTTTCATATAAAGTGTAAGGAAGGGGTCTAGTTTCAGTTTTTTGCATATGGCTAGCCAGTTTTCTCAACATCATTTATTAAATAGGGAATCCTTTCCCCATTGCTTGTTTTTCTCTAGTTTGTCAAAGATCAGATGATTGTAGATGTGTGGTGTTATTTTTGAGGCCTCTGTTCTGTTCCTTTGCTCTATATATCTGTTTTGGTACCAGTACCATGCTGTTTTGTTTACGGTAGCTTATAGTATAGATTGAAGTCAGGTAGGCTGATGCCTCCAGCTTCGTTGTTTCTGCTTAGGATTATCTTGGCTATGCAGGCTCTTTTTTGAAACCATATGAAATTTAAAGAAGTTTTTTTTTTTCTAATTCTGTGAAGAAAGTCGATGGTAGCTTAACAGGAATAGCATTGAATCTATAAATTACTTTTGGCAGTATGGTTATTTTCATGATATTGATTCTTCCTATCCATGAGCATGGAATGTTTTTCCATTTGTTTGTGTCCTTTCTTATTTCCTTGAGCAATGGTTTGTAGTTCTCCTTGAAGACACCCTTCACATCCCTTGTAAGTTGTATTCCTAGGTATTTTATTCTCTTTGTAGCAATTGTGAATGGGAGTTCACTTATGGTTAGGCTATTATCGGTGTATAGGAATGCTTGTGATTTTTGCACATTGATTTTGTATCCTGAGACTTTGCTGACATTGCTTAACAGCTTAAGGAAATTTGGGGCTGAGATGATGGGGTTTTCTAAATATACAATTAGGTCATCTGCAAACAGAGACCATTTGACTTCCTTTCTTCCTATCTGAATACCCTTTATTTCTTTCTCTTGCCTGATTGCCCTGGCCAGAATTTCCAATACTATTTTGAATAGGGATGGTGAGAGAGGGCATCCTTGTCTTGTGCCGGCTTTCAAAGGGAATGCTTCCAGCTTTTGCCCATGCAGTATATTGGCTGTGTGTCTGTCATAAGTAGCTCATATTATTTTGAGATACGTTCCATCAATACCTAGTTTATTGAAAGTTTTTAGCATGAAGAGGTGTTGGATTTTATCAAAGGCCTTTTCTGCATCTATGGAGGTAATCATGTAGGTTTTGTCTTTGTGACAAAATATCTCAAAATATTGAGATAATCATATGGTTCTGTTTATGTGATGGATTATGTTTATTGATTTGCATATGTTGTACCAGCCTTGCATCTCAGGGATGAAGCCAACTTGATTATGGTGAATAAGCTTTTTGATATACTGCTGGATTCGGTTTGCCAGTATTTTATTGAGGATTTTCACATTGATGTTCATCAGGGATATCGGCTTGAAATTTACTTTTTTTGTTGTGTCTCTGTCAGGTGTTGGTATCAGGATGATGCTGGCCTCATAAAATGAGTTAGAGAGGAGTCCCTCTTTTTCTGTTGTTTGGATGGTTTCAGAAGGAATGGTGCCAGCTCATCGTTTTACCTGTGGTAGAATTCGGCTATAAATCCATCTGGTCCCAGGCTTTTTTTGGTTGGTAGGCTATTTCTGCATCAATTCCAGAACTTGCTATTGTTCTACTCAGGGATTCGACTTCTTCCTGGTTTAGTCTTGCAGCGGGCAGGGGGCATATGTGTCCAGGAATTTATCCATTTCTTCTAGATTTTCTAGTTTATTTGCATAGAGGTGTTTATAGTATTCTCTGATGGTAGTTTGTATTTCTGTGGGATCAGTGGTGATCTCCCCTGTATCATCTTTTATTGTGTCTATTTGATTATTCTCTCTTTTCTTCTTTATTTGTCTGGCTAGTGGTCTATTTTGTTAATCTTTTCAAACAATCACCTCCTGGATTCATTGATTTTTTTGAAGGGTTTTTTGTGTCTCTATCTCCTTCATTTCTGCTCTGATCTTAGTTATTTCTTGTCTTCTGCTAGCTTTTGAATTTGTTTACTCTTGCTTCTCTAGTTCTTTTCATTGTGATATTAGGGTGTCGATTTGAGATCTTTCCTGCTTTCTCCTGTGGGTATTTAGTGCTATAAATTTCCCTCCAAACACTGCTTTAGCTGGGTCCCAGAGATTGTAGTATGTTGTGTCTTTGTTCTCATTGGTTTCAAAGAACTTATCAATATCTGCCTTAATTTCTTTATTTACCCAGTAGGCATTCAGGACCAGGTTGTTCAGTTTCCATGTAGTTGTGTGGTTTTGAGTGAGTTTCTTAATCCTCAGTTCTAATTTGGTTGCACTGTGGTCTAAGAGACTATTTGTTATGATTTTCATTCTTTTGCCTTTCCTGAGGAGTTTTTTTACCTCCAATTATGTGGTCAATTTTAGAATAAGTGCGATGTGGTGCTAAGAAGAATGTATATTCTGTTGATTTGGGGTGGAGAGTTCTGTAGATGTCTGTTAGGTCCTCTTGGTCCAGAGCCGAGTTCAAGTCCTGAATAGCCTTCTTAATTTTCTGTCTCATTGATCTGTCTAATATTGACAGTGGGTGTTAAAGTCTCTCACTATTATTGAGTGGGAGTCGAAGTCTCTTTGTAGGTCCCTAAGAACTTGCTTTATGAATCTGGGTGCTCCTGTATTGGGTGCATATACATTTAGGATAGTTAGCTCTTCTTGTTTCATTGATCACTTTACCATTATATAATGCCCTTCTTCGTTGGGTTTTTTTTTTTTTTTTTTTGTGATCTTTGAGAAAAGCAACCCCAAGATACATAATGGTCAGATTCACCAAGGTTAAAATGAAAGAAAAGATGTTAAGGGCAGCCAGAGAGGAAGGTCAAGTTATCCACAAAGGGAAGCCCATCAGACTAATAGCAGATCTCTCTGCAGAAACACTGCAAGTCCGATAATAGTGGGGGCCAATATTCAACATTCTTAAGGAAAAGAATTGGCAACCCAGAATTTCATATCCAGCCAAACTAAGTTTCATAAGCAAAGAAGAAATAAAAGCCTTTACAAACAAGCAAATGCTGAGAGATTTTGTCACCACCAGGCCTGCCTTACAAGAGCTCCTGAAGGAAGCACTAAATATGGAAAGGAAAAACTGGTACTAGCCACTGCAAAAACATACCGAATTGTAAAGACCATTGACACCATGAAGAAACTGCATCAACTAATGGGCAAAATAACCAGCTAGCATCATGATGACAGGATCAAATTCACACATAATAATATTAACCTTTAATGTAAGTAGGCTAAATGCCCCAATTAAAATATACAGACTGGCAAATTGGTTAAAGAGTCAAGACCTATTGATGTGCTATATTCAGGAGACCCATCTCACTTGCAGAGACACACATAGGCTCAAAATAAAGGGCTGGAGGAATATTTACCGAGAAAATGGAAAGAAAGAAGAAAAAAAAGCAGGGGTTGCAATCCTAATCTCTGATAAAACAGACTTTAAAGCCACAAAGATCTAAATTGCTTTCTAATGATAACTTCAAGTTGTTAGCAGACTTTGCTTTGCTTAAAACAGGTATATCAGTCAGATTTTCACCAGAGAAAGAAAGCCAGCAGGAAATACATACTAAGAAAAGTATTGCAAGGAATTGGTTTAAGTGGTTATGATGGCTGGCCAGGCAATTCAAAAATCACTGGGCAGGCCATTAAGAGGGGCAGGCTGGAGCTCTCAAGCTAAGTCCACAGCCATGGCAGGGCAGAAGTTCTGCCTCAGGGCAGCCTCAGTTCTGCACTTAAGGTCTTTTATCTGAATGAATCTGGGCCATCCAAATAGATTACGGCAATATCTCTTAGTTAAAGTCAACTACATATGGACTTATTCCCATCGACAAAATACCTTCACAGTAATACCTCAGTTAGTGTTGGATTGAATAACTGGGTGCTGTAGCCACCTAAGTTGATACATATAACTGACCATCACAGAGGATATTTCAAATCAATCACTGGAGACAGTATTGACATGATTGTTTATTCATTTTAAAGAAAAATGAAGTTAAACTTCTACATAACGCAAGAGTACTTTTTTTTTTTTTTTTTTTTGAGATGGAGTCTCACTCTGTCACCCAGGCTGGAGTGCAGTGGCATGGTCTCTGCTCACTGCAAGCTCTGCCTCCCGGGTCCATGCCATTCTCCTGCCTCAGCCTCCCGAGTAGCTGGGACCACAGGCGCCCACCACCACTCCCAGCTAATTTTTTGTATCTTTAGTAGAGACGGGGTTCCACCGTGTTAGCCAGGATGGTCTCGATCTCCTGACTTTGTGATCCGCCCGCCTCGGCCTCCCAAAGTGCTGGGATTACAGGCATGAGCCACCGCGCCCGGCCAAGAGTACATTTTTGATGGATTAGAACTTTATTTTAAATAAGAGCATTATGAAAGTCATAAGCTGTTATGAGTAGGTAACCATTTCTTCTCAGAGTTCTCTCCCTATTAATTTTTTAATTTCCCAGAAAATCTCTGTAACCCCTCTGCCTCTGTAATCAACAACAGTGCCTACTAAATGGTGAAAAAGATGAACAAAATTAGATCAATACCATGTTAACAAATCAAAGTGAGCACGAGCCTACTTAAGGAATGACAAAGGCCTTATGTTGGAAGCATCTCTTTGCCATCTTGTTGATGTGGTTGAATGCTGTATATTAACCTAATGTTTTCTTTATGTTAAGTTTTAGTTTTAGTGGATTTTTCAAGTATTGTTTTGTGTGTGCATCTTCCCTGCTTCAGGTACTATTGTGGGCCCTATGAATATGCAATTAAAACCTGAATAATATTAATAACAAAGATAAGAGCACCAATGATAGTCTCAATATATGTCTTCATGGAGCTTCTAGTCTATTTTATAAAATTAGAAGCTTCTTTAGAGGACAGAAATTTGTGTTATAGATATTATGTAGGTGAATTTATCAAATGGTCTAATAGTACCGTCTATTGAAGGCAACTGTTTGTTCCTTGACAATAACTAATCCTTTCTAACCATTATTTAAAATACCATCTCCTATTAGTAGTAAGTTTGAATTCCCCTTACTACTAAGTATTCATCTTCCTATGCAAAAAATCTTCAAATATGTAATTTTGTACATGAGCGTAATTACTTTTATTATGCATTTTTTTCTTGACACCAAATATTTGCACTATTTCAGATGAATGGGGGATAACAGTTACATTTTTATCTTTATCAGCGTTGTTTAATTCCTTGAGGTTTAAGGACTTGATCATTTAGTCTGAGTCTCAAAAATGTCCTATGGTCTTTTCACAAATATCATTTATTTTACAATAATTTATCATGTTAATGAGCTACTTTCAGCTTTTTGTAAGAGGAAAGTCACTTACATCAAAAATTTTCATATATCAGATAAATGATCCATGTGGTCTCTCTAGTTTACCTATGTTCTCTGTGCGTTTTGAAATAAGCCCTAATGTGATCATTGTGCACAATATTATGCCAAAATCATCATAGGGATTGATTTTCTATATCTCTTGTGTGGAAGCTAATGCAAAACAAAATATTCTTGAAAGATGGTTTTAAGAGACAAAAGCCCTAATATTTTCTTCTGAAGTGCATTTTCTTTGGATTCTTGATTTTTGGCCTAAAGAAAACATAATCACAGACCTTGAATGAATGATGGAGACATAAATTTTTAGATTGACTGTTCTTGATTTATAGACGTGGATCTTCTGAACAGTAAGGAAAAATTATCCATGTAATTTTTGATTATTTCTTCATCATTTATATTTTATATTCTGCATCTGCCCTGAGGCTATTTACATGGACACATTTTTATAAACTGGAAAAAAACTCATAAGAATGTATAAAAATTAATTTGATTTCTTGCTATGATATTTCTACCCTTTTAGTCAAAATAATCATTACCACAACAGTCACAAACAATGTAAAGCATGTCCACTATTGTTACAATTTTGCTGAAGCTTTTGGAAACCCAGGTAGGAATACTTGGTGCATAGTAACTTTCTTCCCCCCTGTGGAAAATTCTTTCATAGGACTGGAGAAAGGAAGTCAGTACAGTTTCCAGGTGTCAGCCATGACAGTCAATGGTACTGGACCACCTTCCAACTGGTATACTGCAGAGACTCCAGAGAATGATCTAGATGGTAAGACTTTTTCCCAGTTACTATCACTCTGATTATCTTCTTGTTATCTCAGCTTCAAAAGGTCTCTTAAAAAAGGAATGAACTCCAACTTTGGGGACATTGATTCTTACTATATGTTCACATGCAAAACACAACAGGGAAACATTAGTGAATACATAGTCTTCAACAATGCCATGTAAATAATGCCAGACCATGAATGACATAGCATTGATTATGCAATAATCATGGTCCTCAAAACAAGTTACTTGTTTTCAAGATCATCTGAAATAAGATATTTTCTATTTATTTTATTTTGAATAACTGACCTTAACCATTTCGTTCACAAGAATTAGTGTAATTTATAATAGTAATCATGAACTATAACTATATAATATAGCTTCTCTTGCTTTTTTATGAGGCTTTTGAAAAACATCTATATGTATTTTTTTACTTGCTTATGATATTATCATTACCTTTTCTTGGTATAAAAGACAACTTACTTTATTTGCTTAGCTGATAGTTGTCCTGAAACATTTATCAGTAGGATATTAGGATTCATATAAGATTTATATATTAATAAATTAAATATAAGCATAATCCTCAAAATTAGCAAATGAGAAATTGCTCTGGAAATAAAAACATCATGACTAAATTTTTAAAATAAAATTTAAAATGAATGGGTAATGAAGTGACAGAATAAAACATTAAATAATAAAGCAGAAATATATAGAATTAGAGTTAGAAATTTAAAAGGTAAGAATTCATAAAAATGAGAGGTCCTTGGAAAAGAAGTAAGATATGATAAGTATTCTTAAATCTAAGTAATCAAAACTAGTGTCAATTAAAGGTAGATGTAAAGATAAACTCGTATGTATTGAAAATGTGACAGCACAAGATAATTGCCTATTATATCTAACAATGAAATTCTCTTACTCCTTAACTGATACATCTGAAATTATTCCAGTAAAAATTGAGAGTAAAAACTCTATATTCCTTTCTTTTCCCTTCCGTTTTTAAATCTCTCTTTCCATGTCTTCCTCACTTTAACTCTTTTCCTAGTTCTTGTATTACTTTCTCATGTCATCCTTCCTCTTTCTTGAACTCCTCCATCTCATTCTCTTTCTCCTTTGTCTTCCTCTTTTTCTCTTTTTGAATACCTCACTATCATTAATGATTTTTCTATAGCCACAAATTTGGTTTTACTAAAATAATTATGGTAGCATTAAACAATCAACAGTTGATATTTCCATAATAATGTTAATCTCTGCCATGTGACTGCATATTAATTCAAAGAATGTTTATAGAAGTCTTACTAAGCATCAGGCACCATGCTGAGCTTTGATACAATAATAACTAAGAAACACTTGGTTCTTTTCTCATGGAGCTTGGAGAATAGCAAAGAAAGACAGACATTTTAGGTGAAGTATAGGAAGTTGCCATTGTTGTAGTTAAAACCTGATTGGGTACTTGAAAACTACAGTTCAACTTAGGATGGGTGGATGGATGGATGGATGGATGGTGGTTGGTTGGTTGGATGGTTGGATGGTTGGAAGGTTGGAAGGTTGGATAGATGGATGGATGGATAGACCATCAGGCAAACAGACAGACTTGCATTTAAATTGAGACCTGAAGGATGAATAAGAATTAGGTATGCAAAAATACATTGGCGATTGAGGGGAAGGAATAGTGAGTAAGGTAAATGTGGTTTTTAAAGTCAAGACAATGATGCTGTTTGGGGACTGAAAAAGGCCATCAAGAATGAAACACAGAGTTGGCATATGATGAAGTTTGTAAGATAAGCAGGTTCCAAATCTGACAAGACAAAGTTAAGAATTTTAAACATTGTCTAAGGATGTCTAAGTCAATAACTTACTTTGTTTTAAGCAAGTCCTCAAAGGTTGATTTAAAAAAATAGTGAATTAATTAGAATTGCATTTTGTAGAGATTACTCTGGCTGAAGCATGCACACACAAAAAAGTATTCTAAGTAGGCAAACCCAGGCAATGACTTTAAGACAACCCTAGAGGTAATATAGGAGTTTAAAAAAAGTAACTTGAGGCTTAGAGATATTATTTAACTTGTCTTAGGTTATATAATTGAAAAGTTGTGGAGCTAGAAAAAGTCACATTTCACAGAGTTCATACCCATCACTAATAGCTTAGAAAACTTTCATTCATGTGTTTATTCAACTTACATTTCTTATTAAAGGTCTATATATGCAAGATATTACCTTAGGTACTAGAGATAAAACAATAAATAAAGTCTATACACCCAAGGAGTATAAGTTGTATTCAGATGGAGGTAGATAGTGATAGGTGCTCTGAAGAAGCATGGTAGAGGGGATAGCAAGGATTAGAAACTACTGCTTTATATAAGGAACTGAGAAAATCTTTCTGTTTAGATGAAACATGAACCCAGACTTTAAGGAAGTGAAGGGGAAGCCATGCGAATAGGTCAGACTAGAGCCCTTCAAGTAGAAGAAAAATCAAGAACAGTCATCCTGAATAGAGCCTAATTGGTGATTGAGATATATATGGCAAGAAGGATGCCAAAGTCATGAGGTTATAATTTGTCTTATGTAAAAAAATAGAAGAGTGGTCACAATAAACTATATAAATAGTTATTTTTTTCTATTTTAACTTATTTACCTAAGAATTAAGCTTCAAATTTTATAGATTTATGTTTTATCCTTTCATCTACCCTTATGAAGTATACATTATTAGCCTTATTTTATGGGAGACTAAGTTAAGCTATGAAAATTTAACTAACTTAATCAAGTAGTCAGCTAGCAACTGTGGAGCTCAAAATTAGGTTTTGAGGCCAAGGCAGGTGGATCACTTGAGGTCAGGAGTTCAAGACCAGCCTGGCCAACATGGTGAAACCCCGTCTCTACTAAAAATACAAGAATTAGCTGGGCGTGGTGGTGCATACCTGTAATCCCTGCTACTCAGGAGGCTGAGGCAGGAGAATTGCTTGAACCCGGGAGGCAGAGGTAGCAGTGAGCCGAGATTGTGCCACTGCACTCCAGCCTGTGAGACAGAGCAAGCAAGACTCCATCTCAAAAAAAAAAAAAAAAAAAAAAGTTTTATGCTTTGAGGTCCAGTGTAGGTGATCAGAGAAAAGCCTCCACTAATCCTGTAGAAATGACTTGATGACCATAAACACAGTGATTCAAGGCAAACAAACGATTCTAAGAAGTGAGATCACGTTATTTACCCAAACCTAAGGGGTTATATCTCTTACTGGAAGGAGAGAAAATAAATGAAGCAGAGGTGCTGAAGGTCTTACAAAATATCCAGAATGAAACAGACGCTCTACTTGACTTATGTGCTCTTTTTCCTGACTCTGAATGAGTCACAACTTAAGTAGAACCAAAATATAAAGTCACCACTTATTAGAAGACACAAAATTTTTCATTTAACTCCATGTTTTTCATATCAATGCAGTCTAACTGTAATCCAATTTATACATCTATTTCAATCAAGAATCTCTATGCCATGCTCATGAGAGTCTTAATAAATGCTTTTAATTGGATTTGTTTGAACTTTTCTATGCTCTTGGCTTAATAATGGCCCTCTTGTACATGCAACATTCCTTCTTTTTCTTTGGGTATGGTTGTAATTATTACAAAATATGGTTTAAGAATTTACCGTGTGCTGAATCATGGGGAGTACAAACATGAAAACAGCAAGAACAGCTCTATTGAGAACCAGACAGATAATGGCTGCACTGATTAGAAAAGATTTCATAAAAACACGTAGAACTTGAACTACAAACTTCAGAGAAAGGGGGTTCTGACAGCTAGGATTGTAAGGAAGTGTGTGTAGGACAGCATAGAAGACATTTTTCAAGGAAATATTGCCTTGAGAAAATGATTTCTGCCACTATTAATTCAAAATGCATCCTCACTCATCCAACTGTTACTCCCTTACCAGTCAATTGTCAAAACATATTTCCACACAAATATCAACTTTTTTCTCATTCTCTTATGTTTTCTTATGGATGAGAATTGCAAAGACAGTCTTATCCTTTCCTGTGATATACACATAAGCAATCTGAAAAAGATAAATAAAAAATTAATAGAAGAAAGACAGTAGAATTGATACTTCTTGCACAAAATGCTGTTACACGTTATGATTTGAGATTGTTCACATTTAGACATAATGAAAACTGAAAGCCATTTCAGAGCATTTAACTGCATAAATATGTGGGATGTGTATGTTTTACTTGCTGTAAAAAATTGATAATACCAAAGGCCTTCTCAATTTATTGATCCATGATCACTTTCAACTGTGATACTTCCTCAAAGTGATTTTGGTTTCCTTTCTTTCCTTCTGGTTTTCTTCTTTTGATTGCACCATTCATATATTAAAAAGTGTAACCCTTGATGGAAATTAATATTTGAAGGAATGAACAAGATCAATAGTGGTCACTGGTAGGTACAAAAGAACATTCAACCTGCTAGTTTGCTCTATTTTTAAAAAGATTTCCTTAAATATTCATCTCATTTTAATGTATTTGTGTAAATGTTTAAATCATAAAATAAGGTATAAATGACTTGCACCAAAAGTTTCTTGGCTAATGTTGGAAAGCTTTGGGTCCTAAATTTTGAGTCCTAACACTCTGAAGTGAGAAATTTCCATATAGAATTGCTTTGATCTCCCAAAAATTAAGGATAAGGAGAAAAAGCAATCATTTTAAACCACATGAAATGGGAGGCATTCTTTGCTGTAGCTGAAGATATCTGTGTTGGAAGGTAACTGCATCATTAGGCCTCTCTGGATGCATTATGTTGTATAACTTACCCCCCTGCTTCAGAGCCTGATGGTGATCGCCAAGAGAATGATCTACTCATTACTGCATAACTCTGAGCCCTGCAAGTCAGCTAAACAGAAACAGTGCTATTTGCAGATTGTTAAAGGAAACCCCTGCCTCCTGTGACTTCTGTAGTTCCTCTTGCCTTCTCAACTTGGCTTAAGCATTGTGAAGATAACTGTAGCTTGGAGAAATACCCCAAGTCCTCTTGGATTGCCCTTTTAATTAGATGTTTTGTTAAAGTAATTATAAAACCAAACCACATTGTTTGTTCAGCGTTCCCTGGAAAGCACGTTGCTATTACTGACAGCTGGGAAGTTTTAAAATATTTATTTTGTGCCTCAAAATTTCAGCTTAAAAAAAAAAGCAAACCAAGATCATTAGAATTCCCTAGGGTTTTCATGTAAATGTCTTGCATAAAGAAATGAGAGAATTTGTGATAGAGTGATAGAGTTCAACAAAGTATCCTTCAAGAAACTGAGCTTGGAAATCTGTTTATGATACTTTTGTTTTTGGAGTGAAGAGGTGAAAATTGCTATACGCTATCAATAATCATGTGATTTAAAATCGACTCTCTACCCTGAAGTGGAGGAGTTTAGCTATCAAAAGTCGGCAGTGCAGACTTAAGAAAGTGCAACAGTGATGCAGCAAAAAAATGTGAATCTAGGAGCTGGCCCTAATTTCTTGCCCCCAGGAAATAGGTAATCAGCCTTATTAACCCAAACTGGTAATAAATGGGTTCGCTGCAAATTCATTTCATTTAAGAATTGGGGTAAGGAGTGCGATTTACACCAGTGAGCAAAAGAATGTGTTCTTCTGGTGATTTCACTTGATGCTCATATGGGATTTGGTGTGCACAGAGGAGTGAAGGTGGCATGTCATAGAATAGATTTTCTTTCTTGTACTTTTGATAGGGACCATTTATGATATTCTGTGATTTATGATATGCTATGATTTATGATAATTGACAGATAGGCTTGGGGAATTTGATGGACCAGTGGTACAGTAGCTATTCCACTGTGAAATTTAAGACTCAGCCCCTTATTACCATTCAAGTGGATTTCATCTTACACATAAGGAGCATAGCAGGCAAAGCAAAAACTGATTTTTAAAAGCAATATGGTATCTGTTTCAGTTCCGGTGCAAGTGGTTGTTCAGAATCTCAAAGTTCCACTGTACAAAGGATGGCACAGGTTGCTTTGACTTAGATAAAAGTTCAGTGAAGTTGCAAGTATTTTACTTGGTTATAACAAACTTTAATGTGCCCATGGAATGTCTGATCCTTCTATGAGTTGCTTGACTTTTTTCTAAGTACCATGTAAAGGATCAGGTGGGTTTTGCAGTCTTAATGACTAGGTTTGGATCCAGCTCCATTTACCCTATATTCTTGGGCAAATAACTTTCCCATGCCTTGGTTTTTCTCATGTGTAAAGAGGGCATAACAACAGTATCCATCACAGTGGGTTTTTGTGAGAATTAACTATGATAATGGCAACAAAGTGCTCAACAGTGTGTTGTTCTTCTGATTTTTCTGGTTTTGATACATAAGAAGATCTCAGACTTTGACTGTTGTGTTGTTGTTGTTGTTGCTGCTGCTGTTTTAGACAGAATCTGGCTCTGTCACCAAGGCTGGAGTGCAATGGTGTGATCTCGGCTCACTGCAACTTTCACCTCTCGGGTTCAAGTGATTCTCCTGCCTCAGCCTCCTGAGTAGCTATGATTACAGGCATCCACCACCATGCTTGGCTAATTTTTGTATTTTTAGTAGAGACAGGGTTTCACCACGTGGGCCAGGCTGGTCTTGAACTCCTGACCTCAGGTGATCTGCCTGCCTCTTGAACTCCTGACCTCAGGTGATCTGCCTGCCTCAGCCTCCCAGAGTGCTGAGATTACAGGCATGAGCCACTGCACCTGGCCATGACTGCAGTTCTTTCTGACAGTAATATGAAATACTCAGACCATTGGTTTTATGAAACTTCTCCTTGTTCATGATGGTAAAGCTTTGTTGTCTACATTTAGGGAACAGATGTATCCATTTCTGTTACAAAAGGAGAGTGTACATTCAGTACATCTTAAAAGCCCATCATCTAATTAAGGTATAATTTAATGGGGCATCATATAATTATAGCAATAGATTGAAGAGGGCGTTTTGTGGAATTAGGCAGTTTTTTAAAAAAATATTATAGGAATATAAGCAAGCTTTCAAAATTGTATTGTTTTTGCAAAAAACTAAAACATTATGCCAAATGGTAAAATACTAAACACATTTGTTTTAAGATCCAAACAAGCTTAAAAACTTCCTACAATTTCTGTTATTAAAGAAGATAGAGGTTTTGGCAAGAAAAACTTTAAAAATTCATAACATTTTATTACAAAAGGAAAGAAATCTTATTATTATAAATGGTGTTATTGAATATTTGAATATTACAAGACACTGCACTAAAAACCTATTAGAGCTAATAAGAGAATTTAATAAGGTTGTATGTTTCAAAAACATAGCTTTTCTTTATAGTAGCAATAATTAGTTTAAACATTGAAAAGAAAGGCATTTATAAAGCAACCTAAAATATAATATCTAGGACTAAATTTAACAAGATGTAAACAAATGTATATCATAAAAAATACAACATTTTACTAAAAACTATAAAAGACATGAGTAAATAGCAAGTTACATATGTTCCTGGATGAAAAAACTGATCATTATTACATTAGTTATTTCCAAATCAATGAATAATTTTAGACAATTCTAATCAGAGTAAATTTTAAATGATTAAGGATTTTCTGGGGTGGAAAAAGAAATTTATATGGAAGAATAAATGTAAAAGAATCCCAAGAAATTTTGGAAAAGGATAATAAAAACGTTTACTATAAAGCCTGATTTAGAATCAGCATAGTACTATCTGGCATTGGAATGGACAGATAAATGTAACAGAACATAGAAACAGCCCCTATCTAGGTATATTTGAGAAATAAATATAAAAATAAAGCTAGCTTCTCAAGCTGCAGATTAGTTACTAAATAGTGTGAAACTATTGCCAGTACTTTTAGCAGAACAGAAAATGTTTTTCTTCTCTTACATCAAACTAGTTGACAGTGGTTGATTCTGGTGATGGAACTGAAGGCAAAGGAGGGTAAAGTCATCACATCTTATATAATTCAAAACTGGAAAGGCCCCAGGTGGCTGTAAGGATTTTGTCATCATTTTTTCTTCAGGTATTTTTAAATATAACAAAGATGGGTGACTCAACCACAAGTCTTTTTATACAATTGGAGGTTTTGAGCTGATCTTTCAAAGTATCATTTCCCTTAAGATTGATTGTATTCTTCACTTTGTGACTAGTACCAATAATCACTTGTCATCCAAGCCAAAAGCCTCCCTATCACCCTCAACTCCATTTCACTCCCTGTCAATATCCATTCAATCACCAAGATCTGTAATTTCTACCTTCAGAATGGATTTGGAATCCATCCTCCCTTCTCCACACCCACCACCACACTTTATGTCAGGCTCACATCATTTGTCACCTGAAAGTAGCCTCAGGTTTGCTATTTTTCTGGATACCTGTTTGCTCTCCCTCCTCTCTAGACCCCATAGTGTTGTCAGAGTGATTTTTTCAGAACCAGATATGACGATGTCAGTTCGCTGCTCAGATTCTTCTCCATGTGGTCCTTCCCTCAGCCTCAAGTGTGACATCCCATCCTGCCTGCCTACCTGCACTGCCCTCCAGGTTCACTTCCTCAGCTGCATCCTGGATCAAGCCTTTGGACTTAGCAAGCTCTTTACCCAAGTGTATTTTCACATATATTTCACACCTGCTTGTCCTTTAAAACTCACTAGATGTTTTACTTCTAGGAAGCTTTCTCTTATCTGAGTTTCACTCAGATGTCTTTTCTCTAAACACATTTTGACACTCTTCTCAATAGACTTGAAACAAAGACCATGCTTTGTCTTGAACTTCTCGATATTTCACACAGTGCCTGCTACATAGTACTCAATAATAAGTGGATGGGTGAATGTAAAATATTCATAGCTGGGTATTTGTGTGAAATGTGTAACACTTACATAGTTTGATTCTTCACTGATTTTCATCCTTACATACGAACTCTAATTTCAGATAAATGAGCTAGAAACATCCATTGCTCTCTGTTGTATTTTTTCATAAATGTAGAATGCATCCTATTATGCTTATATACAATATGAAAATGAAAACCCTAGCTTTCTAGAAGACAGCTTGGCATAAGATTTTAGAGTTACAATGGTGTTTTTGTTTGTTTGTTCTGAGACAAACCAATAGGTCTGTAGTTTTGAGAGCATACGGTTTGAATCCACTTCAAGGAAAATGAGCCTAAAGAATTCATTTAGCATACCACTTGGCAAGGACTAAGATCTCTGCCTCCCCATACAGAATAAGGTTTACGGTTTGAATGGCCATGGAGATTATTCAGTGTAAGGTAGCTGATCAAATGCTTCATGGTAGAATGATACAAAGTTCTAGTGAGGTTTTGCAATAGTTGAAGCTGGTATCCTTAAACTCTAAAGTGAGAGAACAATCCCCAGATATTGAAGGGCTGGTGTCTGCAGCTGCTCCTTGAAAGCCACATCAAGAGTATTTGCTCTAACAGTCAGGATTAGGTTATCTCAGTATTTCAGGAAGTTGGCAGTGTTTAAATAAAACCAAACTTCATTGTATTTTCTCTGTATTGTGTTGGACATGCCAACCTGCTACCCTAAATATGTATCTTAACTCCCTGGTGATTCTTGTCAAATCAAGAACTTGATAGACAGAGACCACGCTTGTCTAATTTTTGGGCCAAAAAAGGGCTGAATCCTATCTGTAATCTGGAATTGGGATTCTGCAGCTTTGCTGAGCAAGAGAAAATCAAGGAAGGGAAGAATCTTGATGGTTTTGTTAGGATAAACCTTGGGCATGGCATTGAGGGTCTCTTCCCTAAAAAATACTTTACATTTTTCCCTCTTTTTCCTTTTGAGTTATAACCAATGTGAGGCAAAGGCAAGTGTACAAAGGTGCAGAGAGGATGTGGATTCTGGTGAATTATTTTAGCATCTACGTTTCTTTTCACTAGGAGTAAGCGTGTTGATATTGGGAATTGGAGGACATGGGAGAAGAAAGATTCTCCATCCTTAGATCTACCAGTTTAATTGGCTTAGATTTAGGAGACACATATTTTCAGAATTACAATTCATTGTTGTGGTTTTCAAGAAGTAGAGCTGTCAAAACTCCCTTTTAAGAGTGTTGGCTAGGTATTCATCGACTCCTGTTAGACTTCTACATTCTTTTTCTATCTAGGCAAAAAAAGTAGCTAAAAATAAAGTAAAATATGAAATAATAAGATTAGGTTGACACAAAACTATTAAGATAAATAGAAAACACATATTAAAAGTAAACAAAAAGACAAAATGCAGTTAAAAATTACAAAACAATGTTGAACTGTAAAAACTTGTGGTAGTAACAAAATTTGTAGAATAGCTAAGAGTACAAACTATATGTGAAATGCTACATGAGCAAAAATTTGTTAAATTGATGAGTATGACACATGCATAATAGGTCTCCATAAAGTTTAGTCATTATTAGGAACAAGAATAAAACCTATATGGTTTGAAAATTTTTAATGATACAAATCAATAAGTAAATATTAGTAGGAATAACTGATTTTCCATTCATGGAGGGGAAAATATTAATGTTCATTATTAAAATTAATAATGAGAGATTGGGGGAGGGCTTGACTATAAAGGGGCAGCCTAAGGAAATTTTGGCAGTGATGGGATTTTTCTGTATTATGGCAGGAGTGGTGGATACCAAAATTTTACCCATTTATCAAAACCCATAGAGCTATTACCACTAAGTAAATGTTGCTGCATATATATTTTTAAAATAAATTAAAAATGAATATTCCCAGCCTGGGCAACACAGGGAGACCCCATTTCTACAAAAATTTTCTTTTAAAAATTAGCCAAGTGTGGTGGTGCATGCCTGTGGTCCTAGCTACTCAGGAGGCTGAGGTGGGAAGATCACTTGAGTCCTAGAGGTCAGGGCTGTAGTGAGCTAGCATTGCGCTACTGCGCTCCAGCCTGGGTGACAGAGTGAGAACCTGTCTCAAAAAAAAAAAAAAAGGAGAATATTGACAAAATATTAGAAATAGGATGGTAAAAGAATACAAAGTAGAGTTCAGTGGTGAATAGAAGTGGTTGTCCACTATGATAAATACACAAACAGCCTTTAAAGTTTATAGAGGTGAGCGGCCTAAGGGAAGTGATGTCCTTTGGTGAGAACAGGCCCTGTCTATAGAAATGAACACATTTGTAAGCATCAGACATGCCTGGAAAGGCAGAGTGTGGGTATATCAATTGCCTTATGTAGTTTGCTGTAAAGAAATATAGGCTATTGAGGACTAGAACAAAACTCTAACAAAATGATCCATAAAATGCAGCACGCTAAATGGAGGACAAATGTGTGAATATTTGTCAAAAGTTCCAACTGCCTGACACAACTTGACAGTGCCATCTATAGCAGGCAGTATGTGGTGGCGACTGTTTGCATTACCAAGATCTGGCACAGACAAATCTTGCTGTCCCCTAAGAGGAAAACAAAGTATCCAGTGTAGAGTAGATGGCTGGAGTGAGGTGAACGAAGGCAAAATGACAGGTGAAGAAGGTAGGAGATAAGTGGAGAGAGAGAGAGATCATTTATGGCCTTTTAGGCCATTGTAAAGAACATGGCCTACAATGTGGTTTGAGAACACCTTGGGGGGTTTTGAGCAGAGCAATAACATGATCTTAATTGCAGTTTTCTATATACATGCTCACACTATATCTGTATTCATACACATTTATTTTAAATACCACATATATGCTGATGGCTTCCACATCTGTGTATATCTAGCCATGACCTTTCACCAAAATCCCAGACTTACATACCCAACTACTTCCTTGAGATA